>NC_000011.10:100808788-101111818 GCF_000001405.40 Homo sapiens
TTATAGTAAATAGTTCATTACATTTTACTTGTTATAATAGTAATTAAAAATAACAAATTATTCATAAATGTTCCCTTTTTCCTGGAATCAGGATTCATAATTTGAAAAGCCTAACTCTTAGGGGTTCTTATCAAGATGCTATGTTACTTCATCCTGTGATTTATCTGTGTGTCACCCAGGATACTCATTTGCAAGTCAAACAGGAAATTGGTTGGAAAGACATTGGGGCATCTCATTTATCTGTGAGAGGGCCCACATTGCTTGTGGGATTAAGAAACAGCCAGAATCACAAACTCTAAGGCCTCTAAGAGGTTTTTTATCTTTGCCTCTCATTTGCTTATCGGCCTCATTCTGTTAGCTGGCTTCTTCCACATGGTGAGTCATAAGCATTGTACTAAAACTCACAGAAATTGTTTCTAGATAGGATTGTCTAGTTTTTCATTTTAAGACAAGATGAAGAAGAAAGAAAAAGAAAAAAAGAAAGGTAGGAGAGGCTCTGATTGGCCCAGCTAAGGTCACTTAAAGACGCTTGACCAATTACCCAAGGTTAAAGGGACAGAATATGTTGCATAGACTTTCCTTTGAATATAGAGCTATTTTCAGAAACAAAGGAATTATTATGAGTTAGGCAATCACTCCAACTCTTGTCTATTGTAATATGGCAATGACCTTGAGAAATTTCCGGTTAACATTGTCATTTGAACAGAATACTATGATAGTTGTGTATGAAATTTTACAAGACTTAGAAACATGTTAATTCACTCAAACATTAGAAACATTTACTTAAAAATTAGGAGTCACACAAAGATGTACACTATTACTGTTTAAATTCAAAATTGTTTTGGAGGGCCTCTAGTCTGTTCAGTAATATGAAACCAGAGGCAGGCTGGGTGTGCTGTGTTACTCCTGTAATCCCAGCATTTTGGGAGGCCAAGGTGGGTGGATCGCATGAGCCCAGAAGTTTGAGACCAGCCTGAGCAACATAGTGAAACCCTGTTTCTGCAAAAAATACAAAAATTAGCTGGGCATGGTATCACAGCTACTTGGGAGGCTGAGGTGGGAAGATCACTTGAGCCCAGGAGGCGGAAGTTGCAGTGAGCCAAAATTGTGCCACTGCACTCGAGCCTGGGTGACAGAGCAAGACTCTGTCTCCAAAAAAAAAAGAGAAGCCAGAGGCATAAAAATCTAAGACTTAAAATGAAAGAAACAAAATTGTCATATTATGATATGATTTTCCACATAGAAAATTGCAAATAATCTATAAATTATTAGAGATAAATAAGAGAGGTTAGCTAGGTTAATAGATGTAAATTAATTATATTTCTGAACAGAACCTTTAAAAAGTGGCAAAAAAATAAGAGACTCAAGGATAACTAAACAAAGGATGTGCAGGACTTACATGTGTAAAATTAAAAAAAAATATAAAGATAGTAAAGGGGAACTAAATAAACAGAAAACCAATCAATGAGTCAGTTCAAAAGAATGGTTTTAACCAACATTCTTTTTTCCCCTGACTATACTAGACAAGATAATTTACTGTAATAATTCAACTGATAGCAATTTGGTTAACTTGTTTTTACTAGTGTAGTGGTTAACCACCGGCTGGTCCTGAAGCTAGTGTATTTCCTTTTTTCATTTGGAAAATGTGGCCACCGTATGAAAACCTTACCTTTTTTACATTCCAAACTTCTGCCAAACCTTTGTATCTTTCACATATTTTCAACAGCAGATACACTGCTATTTGAAAAATGAAAAATGATGTACTCTTCATTTGCATAACCATATCTAACTGCCTTGGTGGAAAAAAAACTGTGCTACGTAGTAGTTGCTTTATTTCTATTGAGGGAAAATAAAATATCCCCTCCCATCTGAGACTTTTAATTCTATTCACTTTACATTTTACCTACAGAATTATTTCTATTACCACAGGTAACAGAATACTATGTAAGTGATGCAAATAAAATAACATGTGTTTTCAGGATCAGCAGGAAACCAGAACACAAACTGGGAAAGTCTAGGTCCTAATTAATTATTGACATCTAGTAAAGTTTTAAGCTCCTTGAGACTTTGTTTTCTTTTTTTATAAATGAGGAGTGTTCAGCATTTCCCAAAGTGTAAAATGAAAACCACCAGCAATAAAATGAACATTTTATTTATTTATTTATTTTATTTATTTTGGTGGGGAGGGACAGAGTCTCACTGTGTTACCCCGGCTGGAGTGCAGTGGTGCAACCTTGGCTCACCGCAACTTCCGCCTCCTGGGTTCAAGTGATTCTCCTGCCTCAGCCTCTTCAGTAGCTGGCATTACAGGCATGCGCCACCACGCCCAGCTAATTTTTGTATTTTAAGTAGAGATGGGGTTTGACCATGTTGGCCAGGCTGGTCTCAAAGTCCTGACCTCAGGTGATCCGCCCACCTCAGCCTCCCAAAGTGCTAGGATGATAGGCGCGAGCTACCATGCCTGGCCAGAATAAACATTTTAAATGTTAGTAGTTCCATATTTATTTCAATGTGTATTGGATACAGAACAACTCTGGATTTAATGAAAATTGTTGCTTTGTAGGATGCTTAGTAAAAGAAGTAAATCCATTTATAAGGAAAAATGTAGGACATGGCCATGGCCAAAATCACGGAAGTAGAATGTGAATGACTAGAGTTTGGGAATTCATGGAGTAGGTGATCTATGTTGCTTCTGCCTCGAATGTCTTGACTTTCTTTTTTTTTTTTTTCTTTGGAGATGGAGTCTTGCTCTGTTACCCAGACTGGAGTGCAGTGGTGTGATCTCGGCTCACTTCAACTCCCCCGGGCTCAAGTGATTCTTCTGCCTTAGCCTCCTGAGTAGCTAGGATTATAGGAGTGCACCACCACGCCTGGTTAAGTTCCATATTTTTAATAGAGATGGGGTTTCATCATGTTAGCCAGGCTAGTTTCAAACTCCTGACCTCAAGTGATCCGCCTGCCTCGGCCTCCCAAAGTGCTGGGATTATAGGCATGAGCCACTGAGCCCAGCCCGGATGTCTTGATTTGATTGTCTTCTGTGACTGTATACTTTGCTGAACAGTGTCAATGATTAGCCCTGAGTTCACTACCTCATTTATGGAGCTTACACTTAAAAACTGCTGCCAAAAACTGATTTCTTTTCAATTTCTTTTTTAAAACAATTTTTTAATGTTATATTTTTATTGCTTTTCATAGAGATGGGGTCTCTCCCCATGTTGCCCAGGCTGGTGTTAAACTCCTGGGCTCAAATAATCCTCCCACCTAGGCCTCCCAAAGTGCTAGGATTACAGATATGAGCCACCGTGCCTGTCCCTCTCTTCAGTTTCTTATGAATGAATGAGCCTTCATATAGTGAACACATTAATAATAGGTTCAGCCAGGTTCTGCTTATATCTTTTGCTTAAAGACACAAGCTGTAAACTGTAGGATTTGGAAAACTTTATAGCAAAGCGGATGGTGGACCATAGCATAGTTTCATTTTTATTTACAAAACAGACGAAATTTATGGGATTTTATACCCAGAAGTAGTTGGAAAGGATAGCAATAATTTATTTTCAACAAATATTTATTAATCTCTTTCTCTGGGCTGGATATTGCTCCAGAGCTGAGAATACAACTCTGGTCAAAAAGAGCTTCTGCCTTCCAGTTGGCAGAAACAGACATAACAAAGAAGAAAGTCAAAATGTATTATCAGATGGTGATATATACTCTGGAAAAAGGGAGATAAACTAGGATAGGTAGCAGAGGGGGCTGTAGGTGAGTTTTTAATGTCAGGAAATCAAGGAAGGCCTCAGTGAGTAAATGTCATTTAAGCAGAGACCTGACAAAGAAAGAAGTCAGTCTTACAACTCTCTTGGGAAAATGCTTTTCAGGTTGCCCAGACAGCTTTACAGCAGCAAGTACAAAGGTCCTGAGGCTGGAAAGTGCTCGGACTGTTTGAGGAGGAGCATAGGCAAATATGGCTAAAGCACAGGAACAAATGGGAAAGTGGGAAGAGATAAAGTGTGGTTGATTGGGCGGGGGGATTATGAAGAATATGTAGGACTCTTTAGGCCTTGTAAGGAATTAGACTTTTGCTCTGTAGAAGGGTCTTTCAGCAGAAGTGTGACATGAACTGATTTAGGAATTTAAAGGACTACCCTAATTGTTATGCAGACTGTAGAGGACAAGACTGTGTGCTGAGCTCCCCTTAGGAGGCTGTTTTCGTTATTTCATTACTTAAAAGACAATGATAATTTGCACCAGGATGAAAGTAGTGGAAGTGGTAGAAGTGTTCAGATGCTAGGTTTATTTTGCAGGTGATACTAAGAGGATTTGCTCATTGATCAAATGTAGATTGCAAGAGAAAGGGAGGCGGCAATGATGTGTCATTGGTAGGATTTCTCCACCTCAGCACTGTTGATATTTTGGAACAGATATGTTTTTGTTATGGGGGTCTGTCCTGTGCATTGTAGGATGTTTAGCAATATCCCACACCTCTATGCTCTTGAGGTACTCTACTTCCCCTTAAATTGTGACAACCAGTGTCTCCAGACATTTTGTCCCTCAGGGGTCAAAGTCAACCAGTTGAAAACTACTCATTTAAGGTTTTAAGCCTGATGAGATTCTGAGATGGAGGGACTGTAGGGGGTAACAGGTGTGGTGAGTGTTATCAAGCATTTTCTTTTGGACATGTTAAATATTAGCCAAATGCAGTGTTGAGTGGAAACCAGGGGAGAGATCAGAGCTGGAAAAAGAAATTTGGAAATCACCAATGTATAGATGGTATTTAAATTCACTTTTGTCATTGAATGAGATTATGCAGAGAGTGAGAGTGAATTAGGTGATGAGCTCCTTTGACTCTCCAGGGTCCGCCATGTGGTTAACAATAGTTATATCTGGCCAGTCTCAGAAATTTTTTGCTCTTGTAAGTAGACTTAATAAGACTTCCACAGTGTGTTAACTCAAACAATCCACTTGCTTTCTCTGAATCCCTCTAATAGGTATATATTGCTATATTTTCTATTCTTGAGAGAAAAAACTAAAATACAAATACTTTTTCACCAACCCTTTTTAATAAGACTGGCGGCAACATGTAAGTCACTTTGTCTTTTGATAGGTAGGAGGAATGAAAATAGCAGAACAGGCCGGGTGCAGTGGCTAACACCTGTAATCCCAGCACTTTGGGAGGGCGAAGCAGGTGGAGCATGAGATCGAGATCAAGACCATACTGGCCAACATAGTGAAATCCTGTCTGTACTAAAAATACAAAAAAATTAGCTGGGCATGGTGGCAGATGCCTGTAATCCCAGCTACTCAGGAGGCTGAGGCAGGAGAATTGCTTGAACCAGGGAGGCAGAGGTTACAGTGAGCAGAGGTCGCACCACTGCACTCCAGCCTGGGCATCAGTGCGAGACTCCGTCTCTTAAAAAAAAAAATATTAGCTGGGTATGGTGGCGTGCACCTGTAGTCCCAGCTACTTGGGAGGCTGAGGCAGGAGAATCACTTGAATCTGGGAGGCAGAGGTTGCAGTGAGCCAAGATCGAGATCACACCACTGCACTCCAACCTGGCGACAGAGCAAGACTCCGTCTCAAAAAAAAAAAAAAAAAGAAAAGAAAAGAAAATAGCAGAACAAAGGGCTCTCACTAACAGGCTTTGAAATCTAACTCTTTGGGCATAATAATGATTATATCCATTTCTAATATTAGGCCGTTCTCACATTGGTATAAAGAAATACATGAGACTGGGTAATTTATAAAGATAAGAGGTTTAATTGGCTCACAGTTCTGCAGGCTGTACAGGAAGCATAGCAACTTCTGCTTCTGGGGAGTCCTCAGGAAACTTACAGTCATGGCGGAAGTGGAAGTAGGAACATCTTACATGGCACAAACTGGAGGGAGAGAGAGATAGGGGAGGGGCTACAAACTTTTTAAAACAATCATATCTCATGAGAACTCTACCACAAGAACAGCACCAAAGAGATAGTGCTAAGCTATTCTTGAAGGATCCACCTTCATGATCCAGTCCCTTCTCACTAGGCCTCACTTCCAACACTGGGGATTACAGTTGAACATAAGATTTGGGTGGGGACACAGATCCAAACCATATCACTTAGTATGTACAGATATGTAGGAGCCTTCACATACGGTGTTTCTTCTTCCATTCGTCACTTGACTTAATCTTGTTCATTCTTCAGGCCTCAGTTTACATAAGATGTGAGTTGGCCTCATGGTGGACACTTCCCTTGGGCCCTCTAAAACAAGTGCTCCCTCTTATGGTGTCCAGTACTTTTTCTTTATGGAACTTACTATCTGTGACCATATACATGTTTGTGTTTTAGTTTGTCTCCATTAAATTGTATAACCTCTTTCAGCAGGACCCAAAATTATTTAACACTGCTGGTACCAAGTGCTTAGAACAGCAACATGGGATGTATGAAGGGTATTATATTGCAGGTTCCTTTTCCATTAGCCTTTGTTTCATAGACATCCTTGCACTGTTATACATCTACTCTTTCATTATGTGCGTGTATCATAATTTACCCAATCATTTCCATGTTGATAGTCATTTATGTAGGCTGGATTGCCTTCAAAAATCACCCTTTTTAAGGCAAATTGTGTGAAAGAGAAATAGAGTCTACATGCATGGAATTTTGGCCATGTTAATCACTGATGCTCTATTCTGTATAACTTACAACATTTATTTTCCCTTGAAAAATGCACTAAATCTAAGCTATGTTTGTTGCTCTGAGCCTAGTTCCCAGATAGATGTGCAGATATGTTTCTTCTTAGATGTGCAAAGAATTTTGAGTTAATGAGTCCAATTAGAGAATACCTAGAAGTGACATTAAATATTAACAACTTTGTTTTTCTGTAGTTGTAGTAAAATACACATTCCATATAATGTACCATCTTAACCAGTTTTAAGTGAACAGTGGAGTAGTATTAAGTATATTCACGTTATTATGCTACCAATCTCTAGAACTTGTCATCTTGCAAAATTGAAACTCTATACCATTACACAACAGTTCCCTATCTCCCCCTCCCCACAGCCCCTGGCAATCACCCTTCTACTTTCTGTTCCTAGGAGTTTGACTATTCTAGATACTATGTGCAAGTGGAATTATATAGTATTTGTCTTTTTGTGACTAGCTTTTTTCAGTTCACATAATGTCCTCAAGATTCATTCATGTTGTAGCATGCGTCAGAATTTCCTTCCTTTTCAAGGCTGAATAATATTCCATTGTATGTATACATTATATTTTGTTCATCTATTTATCCATGGAGGGACACTTGGATTGCTTCCACCTTTTAACTATTGTGAATAATGCTGCTTTGAGTATGGACATACAAATATGTCTTTGAGACCCTGGTTTCAATTCTTTTGGATACAGTCCAGAAAGTAGTATTGTTGGATCATATGGTAATTCTATTTTTAATTTTTTGAGGGACTGCCATCCTGTTTTCTATAATGGCTGCACTGTTTTACAATCCCACTAACAGAGCACAAGTATTCCAGTTTCTCTGCATCCTCACTAACACTTGTTTTTTTGTTTTTTTTTGATAGTAGCCATCCTAATGGGTATGACAACTTTGGGGTTTAATTTTGCTCTTAGACATGGTTGGGGTGGGTGGAGATATGTGCTCTATATCCATGAATTCACACGGTTAACAGAGAGTGAATATTTTAAAGTAATAGGAAGCATCAACTATTTCAAGACACTGATGCAAGAGCATGCTTTGTGATAGGGCAGATATTGTCAAAACATCAAACATTTTTTACTGTGCATTTTAAGATGCTAAATGATTAAGAATGATGATCATTGTGTAAACAGACTAATATAAAGTATGTTTATACATTGGATAATTTAGTCATTCAAAGTTTCATTATTTTAATTGGCAACAGTTAGTTAACAATAATTTCCTTTGCCTTTTATTCTTTTCAGGCAATGTTTTAAGAGGTTTTGCTGCCAGCCCCCAAAAAGCAGGCGATAAAAATGAGAATAGCCTGACATTTCCATGGCAAACTTCTTGGTGTTGTTGTAACTGGAGCTTGGATGAGGATGAGACAAGCCACATTGGAGAATGGTAAAGCTAGGAATCTAGGCAGCTTTGTGGGGTCTGCTCATGGCCTGATTAGCAATGTGGTGACAAGTGGAAAGATAGACTTGGATCAAAAGGAGGATAAGCCTATAAGAGAAATAACCATTAGAAGCCACTGGCAGAGTTCCAGACAGCTAAAGTCTCAGGAAGCCTGTCTCACCAGAAGTGAATCAGGCTGTAGGTGGGGACCTGAAGACTGACACTCCGGAATACAATTCATTTCCAGTCAGAGGACAGGGGGTTTCTCCACCCAGCACTGTTGACATTTTGAGCAGGGTGCTTTCCTATTCCACAGGACTATTTCATGTGTTGTAGGATATTTAGCGGCATCCCTGTACTCTACCCACTAAATGCCAGTAGCAGACCAATAATGTTGCCTTCTCCCTAGTTGTGACAACCCAACACGTCTGCAGACATTGCCAGATATCTCCATTTGAGAACCACTGGAGTGGTGTATTTACTGGGGTGCCTTTCTAGTGTATCTAATAGGTATCCCTTAACATTATCTGACTTATAATTAGTTGGGGGTACTTATTAGTCTTATCTATTAGACTGAAGATCTCTAAAGATAGGGGAGCTTCTTATCTTTATTCTTTTTTGTGCCCAACCTTGTCTCTTTATGTGTAAGTTGAAGCTCAGGAAATGTTGAATTGAATTCAGATGAAGTATTTGTGCAAGTATAATCTTCTCCAATTTGAGTATAAGTTTCGTAAACTCAAATACATTTTACACATTTGTATAATAATTAATGTTGCTTAACATCTCCGTATAAGCCAGACATTACTCTAAGCTTCTTACATGAATGCTCTCATTTAATCCTCAGAGCCACTGCACAAGATGACTGTTATTATTCCAATTTTATAGATGAAAGAATTGAGGCCTACCCATTAATGCCTATAGGTGGCAGAACTGAAAGTCTAACAGGCATTCAGAAGTGCAACTTTTAACCTCACAGAAGATTACTCAGCTATCTCCATACCCCAAAAATCCACAGGGCATTGCGTGAAGTGTTGGTGATGATACTGATAGTTACACAAACCAAGATGGTAACAGTCTGTCACAATGTTATCAGAGTTTTAGCTTGGCAAGTCAAGGACTTTTATTTCCACTGATTGCTTTTGTGAAACAGTAGTTTTGTAAATTGCAAACCATTCATATTGGCTCCAATAGTCTGAGGCCAGATCTAGCATGGTAAAGCAAGGGAAAGGAATTATGTTGCCTGAAAGAGGCTAGCAATGCCTGCTGATCTACCCATTATTGTGTGTCCCCCTGGTCCTTCCATCCTGCTTCCTCCAAAGTTATCTTGTTCACCTTTTTTAATTTTGTTAGCTTCTTTGCCTGGACCAGCATGTATAAATGCAATCATCCACTGACCCATTATTCACCCATTATCCTTACCATCTGGTAGCCTCTGTGCCATGATAGATACGATTGACAAATGTGTAAGACAAGGGTCCATTCTTCAGATGCTGAGTTATTGACGGAGATGCATGTACATAACGTCAGTGATGTAGGATGTGATGGGTGCTAGAAGAGGCACACAGGCAGACTGTTACCCAAGTTCAGAGGAGGGAGGAGTTACTTCTAGCTGGAGGAATTTGGAAAGACTTAGTGGAGGATATAGCCTCTGCTATCAGCTCTGAAATGATATATGCCAATGACAGCAGATAGAGGGGAAAAGGAGAGGAGAGAAGGAAATGCCAGGGAGAAAGGACTGTTCAGCTGAGCTGACTGTTCCTGGAGTGAATATTGGAGAATATATTTATCCAAAAGGACAGCTTACATCTTTTTATATCAATCAGAGCTTGTTTGTAAACAGGGCAGTGAAAGGCATACTGGTACCTTCTATCTGATTCGAAGTGGTACGGTGTATTTTTTCTCTGTTTTTGTTTGTTTGTTTGTTTGTTTGTTTGTTTTGTCTATGGGAAGCTGTCATCTGGTGATATCTGAGAAAACTTAGCCTTGACAGTTGGGTAAGATTTCAGCCAGATTATGTAGAGGTAGAGATGGCATTCTCATAGGAAAGAAGACATAAGCAAATGTAGGGAGATGCAAAAACATGGATGGCTTTAGTAGGGAAAAAATGGGTTATGTAGAGGAGCAGAAGAAAAAATTTCATATAATAAAGACCTTAGAAACCAGGCTAAGGAGCTGGACATAATTCAGCAAGCATCAGAACTTTAATGAGTATTTTTGGGGTTACATGATCAGAGCTAGGGAGACTGGATTGTCACTCCCTAAACAGCAGGACTTTGATTCATTTTTGCATTCACCAAACATAGCAGTGGACCTGGATGAATAAAGGTATACAGAACGGATCAGTTTTATTGTTAGTATTTAGAACGGCTCATCGGAGGAGTCCACAGGCAAGTGAGGTTAGTCAGAAGGCTATTGTATTAATGCTGAGAAGAACTCATGGGTCCTAAATGATAACTCCTCTAGTGGAGATGGAGAGAAGGAGATGTAAACAAGTGGTGAGAGTAGTGAGTGAAAATAGAAATGGCAGGGATAATAACTTATGGTTTGGGGTACAGGGCTGAGGAGATGGGAGAGGAGGATGAGGTTTATAGGTTACCAAGTGAATGCCAGTGCATGTGAAGGGAATGATGGATTGCAGATAGTAGGAAATTTGCTGAGTTTAGCTTGCAATGTTTTAGGAGAGGTACCATAGTGATTAAGAGCACAGAATATGAAATTTGTGCATCTTGCATCTGCCTCTCATGAACTGTTTGATCACTTAACATTTCATTTGTTTCCCCATTAGTGATAGGAGGATAATAATAGCACCGATTTAAGGTTAGTATGATGCTTAACTAAGCTAATATTTTTAAAGCTCTTAGAACACTGCCTGCCAGATAAGAGCCACATAATTATATGTTAAATAAAATCAAATTATTAGGGAGCTTTCCAAATCTGTATCCAAATATAGAATAATGAAAGGGCTCAAGATTAGAACATGAATGGCTTGTGAGGCACTTGTTTTTCCTCCCTGATATTTAGGAATTCTTGATTTAAGAATATTCATTTTGAGTTTAGTGGCACAGTATTTCTTTTTCATCATTGGCATTTCCCATTTCATTTTGCATATTAATTTTTGGAAATTTCTATGATTTCTCAAATTTTCATTTGATAATTTTTGGTGCAGGATCTCAGCCTGTTAGTATGCCACAGGGCTCGGAGGCAGTAAATATGAAAAGGTAAAGCATAATAAAGGCTTGGGTTTCATATTATTTCGGTGGTTCCCAGGCAACTCCTGCTAATTACTAATGGAGTGTGATTGTATCTTCCTTTCTCTAGTTTCATAGCTGTCTCTTTTTCTCTGTTTCATGACACCACTTGTACTTCTGTTTGAAGACTACCATTGAGATTATTGGGTAGTTCTGAAGTGGGGGTAGTTACCAGTAAGCCAGAAGTCAATGAAGTCTGAAGTCACCATATAATGTTCTTAGGGTTTTTGGAGGCTACCATGGCCATATTTGCCTATTTGCCAAATGATGTCAGTTGCAGAACATTGTTCTCATCAGTAGAGGGACTCCTGAATGTTCTTTGCTACCATTTGGAAAGCTACTGAGAGAAAAAGAAGGCATCTCTTCAGATTTCCCTGGACAGACTTAAAGAGACTTTAAAAAGATTAAAGAAACTTTAACTCCAGTCATGCTTTAAAAAGATGGAGAACATGGTTAAGTGAGGCTTATTATAGCTAATAGATCAGTTTATGCTAAGTCAAATTTATGATATTGCAGAGTAGTAATTTCATATTATTTTAATCGCTCCATGCTCTATAATAGTATACTGGGACCCTGTTTGTCTGTGTATTTATACCTCTCTATATAAACAGATACTTGGGATTTGGACCACAGTTTGACTTTTTTCAGTAACTATAGAGGCTTAGTTTGTTTTGTCTAATGTATTGTTAGTTACACTTTCAGTCTTTAAATATGAATGCAGCTGTTCAAAACAATGGAAAAATAAGGTTCATTTTATGATTTCTAGTAATAACATTGTGACAAATGCAACGACCGGAAATGTTTTAAGATAAAACTTTTTTTTTTTTAAATTAACTGTGGGTCATCTTTTTTTGTTTGTTTGTTTGTTTGTTTTTGTTTTCTTTTTTAGTGCTTCCCTTTCCAGCTGTCCGGCTGTCTGGGGAGATGTAAGAAAAGGTATCTGACTTAGCCTTGGAGGAAGGCTTACAATCTAGTTAAATAGAAAAGCCTATTATAAACCTGAAGCATTTCAAAAACATGGCCTGGTTGAATTGTGATGAGCTCCCTGTAAGTATAAAAGGAGATGGAGAGAGATGAGTATGGACTGAAGTAACAAGCCTTTGTTACCTCAAACCTTTGTTACCAGGACTGGATAGAATTCTGGTTTGGAAAAAGCAAGTAAATTCTAGGGCCCTTTCAGGTGGGAGGAGCATTCTCAGCCAAAGACTTGAGGTGGGTCAGAGCTGAGGAAATAGGAAAGTGTGGCTAGAGTGAGGCTTCTTTGTTATATAGTTTGGAAATGCCCTCTGCCTTCTTTAGAAGGAAGTGAGTTGAGTTTCCAGATCATCGAGTTTTAAGTATGCTATTGGGGGCAGCCTGAGGAGCCTGATATTGGCAGCCTATTCAAAATGACGAAAGAATCATCCCATTGTTCTATCAGTAGGAGTAAAATGTGGCTGTGAAACATCCCTTGTATGCCTGGGCAAGCTATCTTCCTCCTTTCCTCCCCTTAGCCTACCCTACTCCCACCACAAAAAAAAAAAAAGGAAAAGGAAAAAGTAAAAGAAAAAGAAAACCAAGAAAGCAGCAGACATCTTTCCTTCCTCTTATTGCCACCTTTTAACTTGATTTAGTTATTCTCTTCACTATCTTTTCTGCTTTGTCGTATACTGTGTTTATATTTCTTTTCCTTCCAATGCAGTTTGAAGCTATACTTTATTATGACAACTGAAACACCTTAAGCAATGTGTTTGTGTATTCATTCTTATTTTACATTAATCCGAACCACATTTCTTCAGTGGCAAATGATGGGCTTGTTGCTAATGACTGGAGATTTAAATCATTTCCAGAGCAAGAATTGTACGTTTCTTTCGATTTCTTCATCTAGGTAGAATACTGCTGCTGATGGTGAATATCCAATGACCATCCTGTGGTCCAGATAAATGTACGGGTAAAATATTGTGACATTTCACCATGTGACTCTAAGGGAATCCTTCCATAAGACCTAGGTAGGGTCAAGATCTCTATAGGGTGGCATTTGACACCTTTTGTATTAAGGGTAGACATTTCAGTACTTGTCTAAAATACAAATATTTTTAATATTTTCGTTCCAGAATAAAATTTGGAATTTTCTCAAAGCATAACCTTAATTTGTTGTAAATTCATTTACAAATTTTAGAGTGTATCTTTAGACTAACTTAAGAATTTCTCATGGATGACTATTTTTCAACGTTAAAAAAAAATTTTTCTATCATTAGTGTCCAAATGAGTTTCTATTGAATCAGTGGTGGATTATAGGGGTGGGTAGTGGGTGGCAGGTGGGTATATCAAGTTCTGGTCTCTTTCTATAATAATAATACATAAAATGGATTACTGTTTGTTTCACTGTTATTTTCTACAACTCTATTGCTTTTCTTGTAGAAAATATTGGTAAATTGGATCTTGCTTTCAAATTTCCTTCTGAAAACTGTTCATCCTTCAATTTCCTCAGCCATGGTGGGGATGATTGAATTATTTCTACACTGTTTGTAGACTACAGTGATTTAATCTGAAAGACTTCCAGATGCTTTGAGAGCAGTGATATTCTATCATTATAGAATGCTTTGCTCCATGCCTGTGTGGACTGTGTGGTCCTGTTCTACAGTGTATGCAGTTTGATTGTTACCCTTTTTTCCCACAGAGTGGAAAGTTTTGCAGTTCACAAAGGTAATTACTTATGACCAAAGGGTGGGAGACATCTTTAGATAATTTAGTGGCAACAGGAACTAACCCCCAAGAATGAACATATTTATCCATATATAGCAGCCCATAATGCAGATACTGGGAATTTGCTTTGTTAGCCAAAAGTGAGAAGGTTAAGGATGATTTCAGAAGTGGAGTGTTTGCTGGTACTCTCATGTGACAGAGGAGCCTGCCACCCAGACAGGTGACAGGCACACAGCTGGTGGGAGTAACAGCCATGACTAGAATCTCCAATTTTCCCACTTTTTCAGTCTGGCTGATCTCCACCCTGTATTCTGCTGTCTCAAAGTTCTATTTTTCTTCCCAGCAAACATTACTAGGTCAAATTAAATTTAGAAATGAAACTTGAGAAGCCCAGACAATTGGTAGGTTCGCACTGAAATCTTTTTGAAGAAGAAAGAACTGGGAATCAACATATTCCTTTTAGGTCTAGGAGCACCATTTGCTTCATTTAATTTGGTCTGCTTTGTGAAAGATCGTGCCCTGGAAGACAACTTGCAGGATTGCCTGTTTTAATCCACCTTCTTTTCCTCAGGATGGTGGATCACCTCTTGCTCCAGCACTGCCTCTGGAAAGGGTTATTTCAGAGCTTTTTCAGCAACTAGAGTTAGGGTAGAAATCATGTGACATAGATTTTCTTCTTTAGTTGGCTTCCCTCCATCAAATTTATGTGATTGAGAAACTAAGACCACATATGGTTCAGTTTTATATTACAGAGGCTGTGTCTGGTTGAGGCTGGTAATTCCCTAGTGTCTTAATTGGCCAAAACATCCAAATCACCAATTTAATCCAAGTATTACTAGAGGGAATATTTTCTTTGGAGTTCCCTGCAGGCCCTTGAACTAAGCAACAACCAGCAAAATCTGAGATAGTTTTCTAACTGGAAAAAGCCTCTGTTTTGTTAACTCTAAACTCGTGGAATTATCAAGACTGTCAGAGAATATTAGGTTATCAAATATAAACAATTATTTATTTGTCCTTATAAATAATGACCTCCTCTGAGAAGCTCTTATGATGATATCATCAGTGAAAACAAGGCATTGCCTCTAATAAAAATCATTTTTACCCCCAAAACCACACCTATATTTAAAGGTTATGTCATTATTGAGGATATTTGAAAAGAATGTGCTATTCTGACAGATTTCAAAAGTAAAATTCTAAAACAAAGATTTTCAATCAAGTAGAGCATTGCTGAAAAAAGTAAGGGCATTATTTGGCCATGAATTTAACCATGAGTTTATTAGAATTATTAGATTATAATTAAGACAGTGTTTGTGCTTTTGCAGATTAAGTATATCTGAATGCACTTGCATATCCCCCACCCACCGGCAGCATGTGGGTAGTAGCCTCTGGAAGTGAAACTGTAGGAATGTTTGTGAGAAGGTTCCCAGGGTAGCATAGAGTTAGTATTCAATAGCTTGGTGGCCACATCTTTTCTGCACATGCTTACATAGATTGTGTGGTCTGCTCTTGGCCTTGTTTTTAAGTTAAAGTTTAATGATGCTTGCTTTAAGGCTGCCCTCACTGTTTTTCAGTCATAGACTACTAATGACTGAAGTCCTTTCAACTAGAAAGGGATGACAGGAAAGGTTAAGAGAGAGAGTTGAGAAATGAGAAAGAAAGAACAGAAAGTCATTAAAATTTCACAGGATCAGTACATACAGGTTATTGCACTAGCTTCTACACTGGAGTCCCGAATACGGATCTAGGAAGCACATGAATTCAATAACTAGTTGTATATATGATATATGATGATGACTTTTTGTCAAAATCTTCATGAGCTGGGAAATTCAGCATAGTGTAGTGAAAAATGTAGGGCTCTAGCGGAGACTCTTCTCCTAATCAACTATATATCATCATAGATGACAGATTTAATCTTGGAGTCCATGCTCTGAATTTTGGGGTTATAATCATTTCCCTCCCTACTCCATGATTTGTGTATAAACTTATGTCTGTGAAAGCAGTTTGACATCCAAGTTTTGAATAACCTTACCTCTATTACCACACATTTTGCCTGATTTTATAATCATTCCTTACTGGTTTCTTTCCCATTCTAAGCTGTAGGCTCCTTGAAGCTGTGTTACTTGTCTCAGAAGCCTTAGCACATAGCACAGCTGGGCTGAATAATTGTTATGAGTGAATGTTTTTATAAACAAATTAATAGACAAAGGAGGATGGTTAACAACATTGGGAGTATGGTGCATTCATCACAAGGAATAACATTGTAACTCTGAAATAGTAATGGCAATGGAAGTGCTTGTTAGAAAAATTTTACAGCATCATTTTCATTGATAAAATTAACAATGAGTAGCTCCTAGAAATTAGAAATACCTTTACTTAATCAACTGGCATAGACTACCCATTCTTGTTTAATAATTAAGTAATGTAGATGCTTTCAGGCTTCAAATTATTATATTGTCCTTATATTATGTTCTATGTTTATTTCTCATACTATGCCTTGTTCCTGATTCAGTTGGGTGTTACTTCTGTAACATTTTTTATGAGAAGAGGGCATACCGATTTAATAATATAAACAGTTCAACATAACTTCATAGGACAATTGAAAATGCTGCATTTAGTTTTAGGAAAATGTTAGCTCTGAAACCTTTAATGGCATTAAATAAAGTGTTTTGTTTATATCAGCCATTCAAATAAAAACAACACGATTTTTATTATACCAGAATAAGCACTTTTACCATTCATTTAATGCTTAATTTGTACGTGAAGAATATTTGGATATTGGCATCTGGCTTGTGTTGTCTTGGAGTAAAGAAAACATGAATGGGAGCTTCCTCCAGTACCGTGTTGGCTGTATGTGCAGTTTTCTGCATGGATGAGATGACTCTGTAGTGTATATTTTACGCAGCATGCTCCTTAAATCTGCTTCAAAGTGTCACTCCCAGGTTTCTTCTTCTGTTTTTCATTCTTTTGCTGCAGTCTTTACAAGTCCAGCTTGTGTGGGCATGTACCCACATTCAGTGTGCATGTGTTTTATGACTCCAATTTAGGCAGCTGTTTTTGAAATGTAGTCTTTTGTGTTTATTTATTTGCTTGGAAATGCTCAGCATTGCTAGAAAGCTCTGTACATAATGGGATGAGGAAAACCATGCAGTGGCTGAGTTCCCGTGGCTGTCAGATGTTGTACTTCAGTAGAGTTTTTGATCGGTTCCTCAGAAGCTTATGTCCAGGGTTCCTGAGTCCAAGTGGGTAGACGAGTTATTATTTATTCTAGCTGGTAAAATGCTGTTTTTTTTCTCTCTCTCTCTCTTTCCTTCCTTTCCCCACACCTCCCCTCACTTCTCCTTGAAAGTGTTATATTGAAGGATTCCACCTAACCCTTATTCCAGGGTTTTAATAATTTCTGGACAAAGAATTTTAAGAAAATATTTCTGTGGCTTGGTGTGGAATACGTCCTATAATTTCCTTTTGGGGAAACACATGAATGAGATGGCTATTGAACGTATATGTTATCCATTTTGTGGACTTTCTGTAGTTTGATTTTTAAATCCTAGACTGACTATCCCTGCAACTCAGGATGCTTCTACATGTTTTCAGAGGTTTATACTATGGATATCCAAAGTAGCCTTAATATTATCTTAGGGACAATATCATTATAAAGTTACTTGATAATTACACTGAATCATTTAATACATTTCAAGACTATACAGATGTAACTTTGGGTAATTTGTGTTCTTCTCTCATGTACCATAATTTAGAATTTATTATCATTACATTTAGGTAAAGTGAATTTATCTAGACCTTACCAGCTCCTGAGTATCAATGTAGTTATATTAACAGTAATAGTTGAAGTTTTACTTGCTTACTTCACCAATTTTAAGATTACAAGATCTCTAAACCCCCAAATTTCCTGTTCCCACCTTGTAAATTTGGGGACTCCTCAGGGACTGTCTCACCCTCCCTAAGAAATCCTTCCTGCTCATGTCACCCCTGTCTCTCTGGGGTATGTAATTCTTTCTGCTGCTCAGCTGGGAAAAATATTTTGCCGTTGGTTTTCTATACAGAAGGGAGTTACCAGATCAAGCTAGAGATTTTCAAAGGATATTTGCAAAAGTTAATTACACAATTCTTTAACATGGATTTTAAAAAAAGAGGAGGGTGGCAACGGGGAAAGAATTTTGTGAGAAGGGTTTTTTGGGTGAATTTTGTTGTGAGCCTTACATCCTTTTTTTTTTTTTTTTTTTTTTTTGAGACTGAGTCTCATTGCCCAGGCTAGACTGCAGTGGCGTTACCGCAGCTCACTGCAACTTCCGCCTCCTAGAATCAAGTGATTCTTCTGCCTCGGCCTCCCGAGTAGCTGGGATTACATGGGCTGCCACCACGCCCAACTAATTTTTGTATTTTTAGTAGAGATGGGGTTTCACAATGTTGGCCAGGCTGGTCTCAAACTCCTGACCTCAAGTGATTCACCCATCTTAGCCTCTCAAAATGCTGGGATTACAGGCATGAGCCACAACGTCCGGCCAAGCCTTACATCTTTACATAGAGTGATGGGACCTTCAATGGAATCACTTGGAAAACACCATGTGATTTTCCCCTAGTTGTGGGGTCATGGTAGTCTGGTATGCAACTCATACTTTGTGAAGCTGATGTGGCCTGTGGCATGTGGAAAAGACAGCACAACTTGCAGCAGGTGGCTGCATTCCTAACCCAAAGGTGCATGGATCCCAAGGGCCTGTTGGTGAACCCACAGTGGAAATGTTTACCTGGGGTCATTTTCTACAAGGGTAATGCCAGTAGGATGGGAAACCTCATCAGTATGAGGCTGTGGGGAATACCATGGGGTATAGAAGCTGAGGGGTAAGGTGTGGCTGGCCACAGGAGAGGCACTGCCCACATTGGCAAAGTCATAGTTGTGGAGGCCTACTAAGGAAGTAAGTCTCAAATAACCTGTGAAAATAATATTCACAAGAGAGAGCTGGCTCTAGCCCATCTCCTTGGCCAGAGAAAAGGAATCTTTAAGTATCAAGCAAGAACTTTCCTTCACTATGCCCCACAGTGATCTTGGAAGTGGTTAGTAATAGAAAAGGAGATGTGTGGAAGAGAAAAAGTCAACTAGAATCTACCCTTTACAAAACATAGGTTCTCTCCTTCACCACATGGGAGTGGGGGTAAGAGATTTAGAGGCTTTTTATTTCCTAAGTGTTCAGAAAAGCCACAGGGTCTGCCCACAGTCTCATCCCTGAGAGCAGGTGAAGGACTGCTGCCTATCACTGAGCAGGTGAAAAATGGGAAGTAAAAGTCATGGCTCTTAACATTCCAGGGGTCCTGCTGTTGAGAATGCCTTGCTTTGTTTGACACTATCAGTCCTCCAAGTGGTCTCACTTGCCGCTAAGTGCTGATTTGTAGTCAGTGGCAAAGCATGAGGGTAATACTTTTCTTCCTTTTGTGTTACACCCTTTAGAAGGATTTTCCCCAGTTTAAAAAAAAAAATCCTTAGTGTTTTGCAAAGTTCAGGGGAAGAACTCTTGTGGTTTTGCTTAGAGCTTTCTTTATTTCAAGCCCTCAGAGCTGATCCAGGGACAGATTTGACAAATTGCTGCTATACATGCTGTGCTCACCCCTGTTCTCTGATGACTGAGCTTGTTTGTTCAAGGAAACTACCTCATTGTCTCTGACTAGGCTTCTGTGAAATAGTAATGCAGTTCACCAGATATGCTCAAATATGTGTGGACCCCTGGTGGTGGTTTCAACCTGAGCAAGGTATGAGGAACCATTATAAATAGGCATGCATCAGGGTATCAGAGCTGCCTAGACAGACCTGCAGAACTCTCAGATTCAACATACATGACTTTAAGGGGGAAAGGGCCTACCTACTATTAATTGTTGAAAGATACTGCTTTTCTGTTTGTCTTTTTTTTTTTTTTGGAGACAGGGTCTTGCTCTCTCACCCAGGCTGGAGTGCAGTGGCATGATCCTAGCTCGCTGCAGCCTCAAACACCTGTGCTCAAGTGATCCTCCCGCCTTGGCCTCCCAAAGTGCTGTGATTACAGGCGGAAGCCACCATGCTCGGCCTACCTTACCATTTTGTAGATGTGTAAAGTGAGGCCCAACAGTTGCCACATGCCCAGGATGCACAACTAGTGAATATTACAGCAAGCAAAGTAATTTTGCACGTTTGGCTGCAAGTAATACAAAACACAATAGTGGCTTAAATCATTAATGAGTTTATGGGCCTTATGCAAAGAGGAATCTGGAAATAGGCAGCCAAGGTGATGCCTCCAGGAGTGCAGGCTCCTTTGCTCTCCTTTCCTGCCATCCTTAGTCTGTGGCCCTTATCCTCATGCTTGTCACACCACAAGCATAGCTTTGTGGCAGTTGGCACTTTCTGGCATCAGGTTCATGTTTCAGGCAGGAAGAATGGTGGCTTGGGGAAAAAAAGCATGGTGGCTTCCGCCTGTAATCACAGCACTTTGGGAGGCCAAGGCGGGAGGATCACTTGAGCACAGGTGTTTGAGGCTGCAGCGAGCTAGGATCATGCCACTGCACTCCAGCCTGGGTGAGAGAGCAAGACCCTGTCTTCAAAAAAAAAAAAAAGACTTTCAAGACTTTCAAGAACCTCACCAGGTTAATTCTGCTATCACAGGACCAGTCATAGTTACAAACTGGGTTGGAGATGTATTTTAACTGGACACACTGGCAGCTCTAGTAGTGCTGACCAGGGCATGCAAAGAATCTTCTTAGCTTCAAAGGCATTACCCACTTTACTATGATACAGACAGCTCCTCCTCAGTGACTCCTCCTCTGCCCCCTAGGGTGGCCAGTGACTGCCATATTGTTCAGTGATAGAAATTACCCTTTTTCATATTGTGCATGCATATAATAAACTTCAATTTTGGCATTTTCCAATGGTTAATGATTCCTTTATCTGTTTACGGTTGTATGTTATTTTCCCCCTTGTTGTCTGATTGGTGATTATTATAAATTGTTTCTAAAATCTTCTAATTACCCAGGTATTCCTTGATTATAAATCACATGAGCAAAATCGGCTAGTTCTTTACTCTGAAGTTTATTTTTAACAAAATTCATCCATTCATTTAAGATGTTTACAATTACTTTGTGATGATAAGACTAAGTCCTAGAGTTCATACTTTTGCAGCATTAGCAAGGACAAAATTCTGATCAAAGCTACATACTTTGGATTCTCCAAAGGTGTGTTTGTATCTTTCAAATATGTGTTCTGTAGGACAGTAGAATAACAATAAAAGCAATATTAATAGGATGTTAGTAAGGGCTCAGAAGTTAAAATCTTCTTCCATGGTCAGATTACTTTGAAAACTCCTTGGTTTAGTAACTTTTATTTTTATACTAGAATATATCTCAATTTTCAATATTACACATGCGTGTGTCTCACCAGGAGGAATATATTTCCCAAGCTTGACGAGACTTATACTGAATGCTCTTTGGAAGACACTATCTGTGAGGCAGCAACAAATTGCCTCAGTAAGTAAAAATACCAATTTCATAGTAGCAGTTTGGAAAAGGATACCATGCTACTTAAGATTCATATTGGCAACCTGTGACTGTAATTTGAGTGGTTTGGTGGCTGCTGTAATATGGAGAGCACGCGCTTTCCTTCTTGTTCTTAGTGAGTTCTGCTGAGAACAGAATGATTGCTTCTGAGTGTAGACTGTGGAGCCGCAGCGTCAGCCTCGCCTGAGTGCTTGTTAGATATGCATGATGTCAGGCTTGCTGCGGACCTACTGAACAAGAAGCTGCAGTGTCACAAGATCCTCAGGTGTTTCTTGTGTGCATTAAAGTCTGAGAAGCCCTGATCTAGAAAATAACGTCTCAACTCATCTGTGATGCCAATATTCTTGTCAGATTGTTGCTGGGGTAGGATTTCAGCTTTTGGTGAACAGAGAATGAATCAATTATCTATTTGGTTTAGTGCCAACTATAATAATAATATCATAGAGTGAGCCGTCATCTGGCATTGTTGGGAGATGGAGTACAGGTGAACAATTTGTCAGCTCGGGCAAGGTCAATAGCCTGCTTTGAGAAACCTTGGTGGGCACCACGGTTACTATTTCAGAGCCAGAGAGAAGAAGGCAGAGGGCAACATTTTTCTTGGGATATAATTTTTCTTCCCTTCTTAAAATACCGTGAGTAATGTACGGGGTGAGGGAAAGATGGGAAGGGGTCAAAGTTGAAAAAAAAGTAAGATAATTTGACTCAATTTAATCAAGTATTTGCAAGTTATATTAGTTGAAATTTTCTGTGCTTGGATTTTTGGATTCATATCTGCTGTGCTGGAATCCTGTTTCCACTATGTTCTAATCACGTGAGCTTGGGCATATTACCAAAGTGCCTGGAGCCTGAATTTCCATGTGTGTGAACGGGGGCCAGTAACACCTACTCCAGCCAGCTGTTGTGATGATTATACAGAGGAGTGGACCTTGTAAAGGGTAGCTCAGTTTACTGTCATCAGTATCCTCATAAACATCATCATTAGGTTATTAAACAAGGTTTTCATTATACTGGGTATTTCTGAGTTCCTGAAGGGAACAAAACTGTTCAAGAGAATGAATAAAAGTAAAATTTTACTAAGAAAAACACGGAACTGACTTAAAAGGAGTCATCCACATCGTTAGGATATTATAACATTGTACTAAAAAAATTAGTTAATAGGGTGTTCTTTTTTGAGAGGAGTCAAGAAAATATCCGATGAAACACGTTTATGTTAGTGACTCACCAGTGTTCTGTAAGCACAGATGGCCTTTGTATAGGGAAGCTCACATTCCTGCCATCCAAGCTACTGCTACTGTAGAAGATTTTATTCTTAGTATTTTTGCTGCTCTTGCTGGGGGTTGCTTGTGGGGAATTCCTTGCCTCTGCCAGGGCATGGTGGTCTGTAGATAGGTTTCTACTTTTTCTGGTTTACTGGGAAAGGAGGGAAAAGTGCATTCCCAGCTTAAATACTTCCACTATAAATGGTTTAAATATACCAAGAGTTAATTTGGGCACATGGCAAATATATTTCTTCACTGGGAAAATGCATTCTATGCCTCCTATGCCCTATTCATACTTCAAGATAAAAGCTAACGGGGCAAGGTGAGGGACAGGAACTTCAGAACAAAATCCACTTGGAAATGGAGGAATTCATTTTTTTCTAATTGATCAAATAGGACTTTAGTAAATAACGAATTTTTGTGGACTGGCAGGTTGGTCTCTTGAATCCACTGGGTCTGTTTCCCCTTGTGCAGCACGTGTGTGCTGGATGATTGGCTCAGTGGCTCTATGTCTATCAGATAATCTGGCCTCTCTTGCCAGAGATGGCTTTGTGAGCCCACGCCAGGCTGTTGAGCAATGGCATCCCAGTTAGGCACATGACTTTAGCTGACATATTGGGCAGATGACAAGGATTCAGGCTTATTGTGTGGGGATAGGCTTTTTCTTTACTCTGCAGAACTGAACGAGGATGGGCATAGTTTCCTGACTGCTGTCCTACAGCAAGCCACGGGATGTAGCTGATATTCTAGGCAGCAGAGCAGAGACATGCAAAGAATCTGGATCTCTGATGATCTCTCTAAGTTTCTGGATTAGCCAGACCTGAAGCTTCTCTTACCCTTGTTTCTCCAGTTATATAAACTGATGTATTTGTTTTATTTAAAACAATTCAAATAGGATTTTCTACTCCTTGAGATCAAAAGCTTCCTAACTTATACACAAATCTAAAAGTCTTCCTAACACGATGTATGAACAAAGTATTTCAGGATTTTGTCACATATGAAGGTCAGGAATTCTTTTTTGACTGGAAAGCTCAGTTAAGAGTGTGTTTACCAAAATGTCAGACAAACTTACAGAACATTGAAGCTAAACTCTTCAGTTTATTATTTTTCACAGGATATTGATTATATTATTAGTTAAGTTCCCTCTCCCTCCTAAGTTACTGCTATCTTGACACACTTTGCTTGACCAGATGTGGCACCCTCTTGGGCACTGCATAGTACAGGATATGAATTGGAAGGAAGCCAATTTATTGGAAAATAAATTCCTTTTACTACAAAAAGGCTGAACCTGAATCCAAGTAATTGGCTCTGAAATGTGACATGGAAGGATTTTGAATGGGTATGCTGAACAGCAAGCTGGATTCCTTTTTCAGTGGCAAAGAGACCAGAAGGGAACTATGCTGCTTGGCATCACAGGCGACTAGAATGTGGGTTTTGTATCCTGTAAATACAGGCTTCTGACAGAAGTCTAACTCTGCATTTTTTCATATTGCCACATCCCAAGTTATCTGAATATCTGCCATTTTTACCAAAGGTCATTTTGACTCCTGATGTCTTGGCTCTTCTCTGAAATTCAGCATTGAAAGTAAAGTTATTCTCCAGAATGGAAATTGAGGTTTGTACATTTTGGTTGAAATAAATAGGACCAATTTGTTGCCTAAAAGTTTCTCAGCTTTAAGGAGTTTTGATACTTTATTAGAGAATGCTACTTTGTTCATTCTACTAAGTATCTTTTAAATGTGCTATCCAGTATTTTAAGAAGAAATACATAAGATAGTATTCTGGTTTTCCAATGCTGTATAACAAACCAATCCAAATATTAGTGGCTTGAAATGACACCATGTATTTACTCATGAATCTGCAGTTTGGGCAGGGCTCAGATGGGACAGCTTGTCATTGTTTCAGTGTGTGTCAGCTGGAGTGGCTTGAAGGCTGGGTTGCAGTCATCTCAAGGCTCATCCACATGTCTCCCAATTAATGCTGGAAAGACTCAAACAATAGAAGGATGATATATGGTTCTTTGAGCATTTCTTACTGCATGTGATCTCTCCAGCATGGTCCTTCAGGGTAGCCAGATTTCTTACATGTAATATGACTTCCAAAACTTCTGTCCCAAGTGAAAGAGAGTTAGGAAGAGCCTGACTTATCGCCTCGTATTGCTTTCTTTGACCTAGCCCCTGCACCCACATAGTACACTACCATTGTTTCATATATGTTAGAAGTGACTCACTCTGGCTGGCCCATATTCAACAGGAGGGAAATTGGGCTGTACCTCTTGATGAGAGAAGTGTTAATGAGTTTGCAGACATGTTTTAAAACTAGGTAGGTAGATACTTTTAAAAAATAAAAATTTTTAAATATCATTAGGAGGTTGTGATAGTTTCTTGCATATGACTGTTTCAAGGGATCATACTAAAATCTTAGGTTTGGAAAATAAAATGTCATCCAATTTCTAATGGTTGACCAGATTAGTGACCATATTGATTTCTATATGGTAGGCACTGTTGTTAGCACTTCACATATGTAAACCTATTTACAGCTGTCCAGTCATTACAGTTATATGAAATACATTCTTAAGATGATTAGTATCCCCATTCTGTGGCTGACAAGATTTACACTTAGAGAGGTTAAATTACAAGCTCAGTCAGATATATGATAGTGGATTTGTGTTTGAACCCAGGGCTATCAATTCCAGAGTCAATTCATATAGCTACTGTATTATGCTTCTATACTCATAGCATTTCTTTTATGGGTCATTTCTGATTAGTAGAATATTTTCCTTTATATGGATCAAAACTTAGTCTACCTATGTCCTTTTGATCCATGCAGTGTAAATTAGACTTATAGAGGTCAAGTGCAGGGCAAGTTCCTGGTGTCTGGGCTAGGGTGTAGCTTTAGTTTGTACAGTGAGACAGCTACAGACATCATACCTGGGAGGACACAAGTTCTCATTGGGTACTCAAGTCAAGCCAATTAATGCAGACAGCAGAATTCGAGAGACATAGTAGGACTTAAATCCTAAAGGCAAAGGTAATAGTGGGCATCAGAAGTTTGAGCTCATAGCATGAATAGACACCCATTAGTATTGGGGGCACTAGTAGTAGCTTAAAGAAGTGGGCAGGAATCCAGACGAACTGTAGCCAAAAAAAGAATAGAGGCTATAAATGCTATGACCAAGGTATGAACAGAGGGATGGAGGAGGATGACTTGAGGAATGAGGCCATAATCCATTATGGGGCCCCCTTCTGCTTTGGACAGGGAACTTCTGAGTCCTTTTTTTTTTTTTTTCTTTGTTTTTTTAATGTTGGATCCATATACAGAAGTGCTTATTTTTGATTCTGGAGTGGGTCTTCCTGTCTAAAAACATTGAATTTTTAATTTTCTAAAAATTTATAAATGTATGTTGATGATTTTATTCACCCTGTTTCATAAGTAAAACACTTCATCTGAGTGAAATAATGTTTTACATTAGATTGCACATTTTCCTATAAACTCTGAAATGTGTCAAATAGTGTCGAGGTTCATCTTTCTATCTACATATTTTATACTGTTTTGCTGGAAAGCCCCATCCTCAAGGCCTTTGGATATAAAAGGGATGGAACTTAACTTACGAGGTTCCTCCTCTTCTGTGGTATGTTACTCAAGGTTGCTGTCTTTCAAGAGACCTCCAGCATTACATTAATCATTGAGTTCCAAAGGAATTTAAATGATTTTCCAGCATTTTATATTCTGTATATACATTATCTTTACAGTTATACATGCACGTCGTAATCTCCTAATTTAACCCTAAAGGTTTCTGACTATAAAACTTAAAGTCCTAAGGTGTCCTTGACTTTGTACCTTAACATATTTATATATGAGTTTTGTCGTGTTGTTTGGTGGTACTCATTCTTAAATACTGCCTAGCATTGTAACTTTTCTAAACATCACTGTTTCTTTGTGGCCAAGCTCATTTCATAGAAGTTTTGAACTGATTAACTTAGATTCTCAGACACACCAAAGGTGTTTGTTGGGAAACTCAGGGTAGCAGTGGTTATCACATCGTAACTATATTATTTATATCTTAAGAGGCAATATTCCAGAAGGGGTACACTTTAGATCATTTTCATCTTAATGATATTCCTATTGCCATACACTTTTTTTCATCCTAATTATTTAGTCTTCATTTGGTTATAAGTAATATGGTATATATGTATATATATATTCCATTGGATCCCCCCTTATACAATTGGTAATTGTTCTTTCCAGAAATTATCTTCTTCCCTGGTTTAAGCCAGTATTTGCCAGGAATAAATCTGACTTTGAATTTCACCAGTGTGTTTGAATATTTCTTATCACATGATTAACCATGGAATTCCAACTCACTCTACTCCTGTAATTATCTAGTTAATGTGATAATGAAGCCAGCCGAACAAGGAAATCTCTTGAGATTTTTGGGTCATTTTTCAAAATCAAGACAAAAATAGCAGGTAAGTTCACACTTAATAAAGAGTTTCAAGTCATTAGAGCTTTGGAAATGACTCATGAGAAGTCAGTCAAATCTCATCCTCTTACAGATGAAGAAACTGAGCCTCAGACAGTTTTATTGACTTGGCCAAGATTATGCAGTTAGTTATTAGTAGAGTTTAATCTTCTGATTTCATAATGAAAAACCTTTTCCTAAAATGTTCACAGATCAGTTCTTAGTCTTCTATGTGAATGGAATTTTCTGTTAACCAAGGTAGTGTAAAGGGGTGGTTTAAACTGTTACTGGTTCCTGAAGGAAGATTAGAATTTTATGTTATGCAGAGCTTTTAAAGGTGGAACACAAAATTTTCCATCATGAACAATCAGCCCTTTTGCTAGATGAAATGTCAATTTCTAGGTCTGAAATTGACCATGCAATATTTATGGCATTGGAAGAACTCTGAGTTATAGGAGAAATATGAAGTGTAGTTGGAAAATACCAAGTTTGAATCAGTAGGAATCTATGTTTCATTGTTCCCTCTGCTTTTCCTAATAATTCAAAATTAGATAAATTCTGTTATAAAATGATGACTGTAAAATTGTTCATGTATCCAAGCTTTTGTTGTTTGCTGAAGAGTGGTTAGGTTTCTCTTTTAAATGTAAAACCTAATTTGAGATGTGTAAGGTTTTTTGTTTTTTTTTTGTTGTTGTTTTCTTTTTTTTTTTTTTGGTTAACTAAATGAAAGACCTCAAAATATACATGCATTAAAAAAACAGTAAGCATATATAATGTCTGGGACTTGAACACCTCATTATTATTTTCAACCTGTCCTTTTTTTACAACCAATTTTGAATGTTATTGATTACTTTCTGCTTTCTAGTCTCTGGAGGTAAATCATGTCATGAATAACTGACTAGTTCCAGCAAAATATTTTTGGTTTTGGAAGCATAGAAATAATTCTTATGTCGACTTCATTGTATCAGGTTCAAGATTGTAAATTTCTCATATTTTCATTAGTAGTTGCTAAAATATTTACATTTTCTTTTGAAATAATTTTCATTTATAGAAAAATTTCAAGAATAGAAAGAACTTTCCTATATTCTTCACCATTTTGCCAAATTTGCTTTACGACTCTTTGTCTTGAGACTGTTTCAACCACCATGCTTTTTTTCAACCCTAAATGTTTAAGTGTGTATTTTCTAAGACACAGATATTCACTTATATACCTACAGTGCAGTTATCCAAATTAGGAAGTTTAACACAGGTAGACTACTGTTACCACAGAATCTTTTTTTCAAGTTTTGCTAATTGTCACAATTTTGTCCTTTATATATACATATTTTTTTCTTGGCTTTGGACATCAAAATCTGGAATGGTTTTGTTGTCCGTAAGGCTAGTTTAGGTTTTGTCTTTGTCACACAAAAGAATTTGGAAATGAGATCACAGTGTAAGTATAAAAGTTTTATTGTGGAGTGAAAGCAAATACACAAGGAATGAGTGCAGGCATGCTCAAAAGAATGGGCTGCCTGCAAGGTGGTCAGGGCTTGCATACTATATGGATAAGCATAATGAAGGCATGGAATATTTTATAACAAGGGGAGAGGTTTTCCCGGAAATTCACAGGCAGTTCCCAGAATCTAGGTGTCATCCTTTTTTTTTTTTTTTTTTTTTTTTTTTTTTTAGTAAATATGCTTAATTTGGAACTGTCATTGTATCAGGTGCACGATGAGAATGGGAGGTTTTTTCCATGGAAATTTTATGATAATAGGGGCATAATGCAGCCAAGGGTCAGCAGTCAGTTAAGTTTTTGGCCATCTTGGATTTAATTAGTTGTGGCTGTTTTTGTTATATTTTTATATTCACCTAGCGGGATGTCTGCAATTTGTTTTCATTGGTGCAGTCTAACAGGTTTTTATTTTATTTTATTTTATTTTACTAGGAGACAGGTCCTGTGCTAACCTGTTTGGCTCTGTTTGTGTTGTTCTTAGCTGCCTAAAAATAATTGAGCCCCATTCCCTCGCTAACTGCCTGCCTCAGTTCCTGAGTCTGTCTGTCTGTTTGTTTTTGTTTGTTTGTTTCCCATTGCATTGACGTGTTTGAAAAGTTTGGGCTAGTTATTTTGTAGAAATTTCCTCAATTTGGGTTTGTGTGATGCTTCCTTCTGAGTAAATTCCTGCATTTTGCGCAGGAATTAAGGCACCTGGTGTTGCTTTTTCTCATTACTGTTGGTGTAAACTTTGATCACTTGATTAAAGCGGTGTCTGCCAAGTTTTCCCACTATGGCCTTACCTTTTCTCTCTTTGAAATTAGTAAGTCCTTTGTGAGTAAAGACAATGTATATAGACATTCCTTTTTTCAAACTTATGCTCATCAAGCTAAAGATATCTTAATTATAATATGATAGTGTAGGCTGGGCTTGGTGGCTCATGCTTGTAATACCAGCACTTTGGGAGGCTGAGGCAGGAGAATCGGATGAGCCCAGTAATTCAAAACTAGCCTGGGTAATGGTGAGACCTTGCCTCTACAAAAAATCAAAAAAATTAGCCAGGCATGGTGGTGTGTGCCTGTGGTCCCAGCCACATGGGAGGATCACTTGAGCCCAGGAGGTCAAGGTTACAGTGAGCCATGATTGTGCTACGATACTTTGGCCTGGGTAACAGAGCAAGACCGTATCTCAAAAACAAAACAAAATAAAACAAAAACACCAAGAAAAAAAAAATCATAGTGTTTAAAAAAATCTACATTTAATCTGTTTATAGGGCATATAATGCTTCGTTGAGGATCAGTTGTTGAGTCGTCAGTCATTGACAGGGGCAAAAATATAGTTGTGTTAGTTGATAGCCTAGCTTAATTCTTAGGAAGGCACTTCATTTCCCAACCTTTTTCTATTATTTAGCCTTGCACTAACTTCCACCATTGAAACTATTTCTCTTAGTTTTCCTAGTGTCCCAATGAAATTATAACTTTTTTTTTTTAGGACAAGGGCCATCCGTGTATTATATACTACTTCTATGTATTATGTGCTCTAGTATATATACTGCATATCATCTACAGAACACAGCTATAACATGGCAGCCTCGCATCCCTTCCTGCTTACCACCTTTCTAGATATTAAGGCTTACTTAGTTCTTACTGAATTAAATGGAGAGTGACTTGACAACTCTTGGCCAGCCATTCTTAATGATATTTGTGTTCCTAAGATATAGCAGTATCTGCAAATCCTAAATCTGTCTCATGAAGATTTTATGATCTTTTAGATCAGTGATTAATGGAAGACAATGTCCTTTATTTTTTTAAATAAAAAATAATGACCTGAACTTTCTCTGTAGCCAATAAAGGTGAGTGTGAATGGCTATCACCATGGTAGTGTTGGAGTTAACATTCTCTAGTTAAAACATACTATAACTTCCACACACCAGCTAAATGGAAACGCTCTTGACAGGATCTGCTATGAAGAAAATGGAAAGGAGTAACATGAGGATATGTGGAATAAGTCCGGAGATGGAGTAGAGTAAAAGCACCATTGCCCAAGGGCAGAGTTGGATACCACTGCAGTAAAGAGTGACTGATTAGGCAGTGTGTTAAGTTTTATGTCAAATAATTGGTGGTTGTTAGATGTGAGGATGATCTGGCTGTGACATCTGTCACCCCATTGATTACCAGGGTTGATTTGGCTGATCTGGCTGGCTAGGCTGGTGTCCCGTTCCATCCTCACTGCTCCATGCACGTCCCTCCCAAAGCTGCATTCTCAGTCGAAGAGGACGACCATCCCCGATAAAGGAGGACCAGTCTCGGTCAAGGGTATATGAGTAGCTGCACTCCCCTCCTAGAACCTCCAAGCTTTCAAATAATTGGTGATTCTTAAGATACATGGAGCTAACTAGGGGTTAGAATGATTTCCCAAACTTCTCCTAGAAGGAGACTGTAGTGCCAGACCATACTGTCAACTTTTAGATGTGTGGTGTGACCCAGAGAGACCTGAATTTTTATTTTATGAGACTAGAATTGGATCAAAAGTAAAAATATGAACTAGTCTTCAAATTAAATCATATCTAGGGCTTATAAAGAAAGTAGTGTAATGCTTGAAAAAGGAAAGAACTCTTGAAAGAATGTATTGAATATTTGTATCAAACATGCCCTCCATATTCTTTTAAAACAGCTAAATGTTTCTACATTTCCTGCAAATGATGCGTCCCCTACAAAGTAACGTCACAAAGCAGCTCTCCCTTAGTTCTTTGCCTTGGGACACCCAAGGTCGCTGCGACACTTTTGTCAGTAATGGTGATTTTCTATTGCAGGGATTTCCAAAGAGGAGATTAAGTTTGGAAATGTTCCTCTGTCCCTTCAGCATTTCCTCTCAGAGGTGACTCAACAGATTGTTCAAGATCTATCACTTTTGAGTGTTAAGGATATAAGGGGCTTGATATTCAATGAGTAAAATATGTAAATCTGAATTATCTAACTTTAGAATGTGAATAATATGAACACTTAGTATTTAATGTTAATTTCCTTTACGTTTTTTGACCATGTAATTTGATCTTAGAGCATATCAAAAAGGGTACATATGACCAAGATCCCCCAGCACAGCAAAATCACAGATGCTGACACTTAGAAGGGTTAAAAGAAAAAAGGAGATGGATTTATTTTAAAGCAAGGTAATTGAAGCCTTCTGCTTTTAGCATTCCAATATTTTTATGGTATAATTCATGTAATGCTATCCATTTCTGATGAAGCGCCTAATTGTTTCTTAATAATATATAGAAGTGTCTAAAGTTGTTCCCAAATTTGTATTAAATTGTTGATAGGTTATCATCGAGTGAAGAAAAACATCATTTTACTTCAGGTCAGCTAGGTAAAAGACACTATGTTAGTGCTGAGTCTGCTATTAAACAATTGTAAATTTTATCTTCTTTGGGCTTCAGTCTCCTTACTCCTAGAAAGGATATTAGCTATGATAATTCTCAATGCTCCCCCTTAGTTCTAGATTATTTTCAGTGTAGTATAACTTTGACATGTGAAGAACAGATTCATTTGATAGGTGTGCCATGAAATACGGTCTCTTGATACGTACACTTTTGTGTAACGAGGCATTTACTTTATAATTAGATGACATGAAATGTGATAAATGTGAGGCACAACTCAGGTTAATTCAAGTACAAAAATCCTTTCTTTCACCCTGGAAAGAAGTTGCTTTAACCTTGTTAGCTCTTGTCAGTGTAGAATCATAGATAAAAGCTGCAAATATTTGGATTTACTTGTTGAGTTATTGACAGTTAATACCAAAGGGGTTTTTCCAGATTTTTTTTTTTGCTGTTACTTTTTGGTTTGTTCAGGAGTTGAGTTCAATTTAGGGGCAGAACTTCCCCTCAACTCTCAGTGGATTTCACTCTTCTTTGCAGTGACAGTGGCTTTAAAAACCTCAGAAGTATAACACTTTTATGAATAGCAATGGCATGTAGTACAAAATGTGGAATCAGTTGAGTTAGAATATAATTTTCATCCTTTATTGTTATAATCACATTCTGCATTTCTGTGGTAGTCAGCAGAGAATTAAATCTAAATTTCATACCATGGTTCTCAAGACCTTCGGTGCTCTGTACCCAGTCTTCATCTCTATTTTCCATTGCCTTCACTAGGCTTTCATCATGCTAGCCTTCTTTTCATTTCATCAATATGTCTTACGGCATTGGCACTTGCTCTTCTCTCTGCCTGAAAGCCTTCTTCCAGATCTTTGAGTAGGGGTTGGAGGCGGTTGAGGAGTTCTTGTAAGTAATGCTGGAGTTCCAAGGTATCTCCTCACTGAGGCTTTGCCTATCCAGTTTAATTCAGTGCCCCCTACTGCCGTCATTTTTTGCCACATCATCTTGTTTTGTTTTCTTTGTGGCTCCTGTCATTATCTGATATTATCTTGTTTATTTTTGGCTTACTTGTCTGTCTTCCTGAACTATGTAAACAAGCTCCAGGAGAGATTTGTATTACACTGTAAGTATTTGCTTGAAAATGATTGAGTTACAGGCATTAATGAATTATGGCCTAGTGGCTAAAGATTGAAGTATTGCAAACTAAGCCAAAAACATCCAGCTTCAGTTTACAAGAACTTCATTTGTGAACAATTTTAAGTTCTCACCCGAAAGGTTATGACAAAAAATAGTCTGTGTCTTGCTTCTGGTTGGACAGTTACCTTCACTGAGCATACACTTAAATATAGCTCCTACATTCACCATCGTCTACATGCATAAACTGAGAAGGGAAGCATTATTACCATGTTATCTAGATATGAACTTGACCTACAATAAAGTTGTCATTAGTTCAAATGAGAACCTATTCAAGTTTTGCAATGCAAATAGATATAGCAGCAACTATTTTTTCACCAGTCCAATTACTTCTCTCATTAAACCATCCATGACACTGAAAGTCCCAATATTGGATTATTATTCTGTCTTACATTTTCTCGGACAATTAGCTTCCAGGGCCCAAGAAGCATATTAGCACCTGTCAGTAAATCAGTGTAAATTATCAGAATTACTAGTTGTTAGGAAGCATGGAGCAAAGTCTTCATGAAAGAAGGCGTAGAAATCATAAGGTTTTCTTGGTAGGCCAAACAGTGTGGTAATGAATGGAAATATTTAAAACTTAGGTTCCCTGGAAACCCTTCAAAACCATGCAAATAAATGGAAATTAAATAGCCTGCTCCTAAATAACCATTGGGTCAACAATGAAATCAAAATAGAAATTAAAAAATTGTTTGAACTGAACAACAATAGTGACACAACCTATTAAAACCTCTTGGATACAGCAAAGACGGCGCTAAGAGGAAAGTTTATAGCCCTAAATGCCTGCATCAAAATGTCTGAAAGACCACAAACAGACAATCTAAGATCACACCTCAAGGAACTAGAGAAACAAGAAAAAAACCAAACCCAAACCCAGCAGAAGAAAATAACCAAGATCAGAGCAGAACTAAATGAAATTGAAACAAAAAGAAATACAAAAGATAAATGAAACAAAAAGCTGGTTCTTTGAAAAGTTAAATAAAATGGATAGACCATTAGCAAGATTAACCAAGAAAAGAAGAGAGAAAATCCAAAGAAGCTCAAATAGAAACAAAATGGGAGATATTACAACTGACACCACGGAAATACAAAAAGATCATCCAGGGCTACTATGAACACCTTTACATGCATAAACTAGAAAACTAGAGGAAATGGATAAATACCTGGAAAGATACAACACTCCTAGCTTAAATCAGGAAAAGTTAGATACCCTAAACAGACCAATAACAAGGAGTGAGGTTGAAATGGTAATAAAAAAATTACCAACAAAAAAAAAGTCCAGGAACAGATGGATTCTTGCTTATTTCTACCAGTCATTCTACCAAGACAAGGATGCTCACTCTTACCACTTCTCTTCAGTATAGTACTGGAAGTCCTAGCCAGAGCAATCATTCAAGAGAAAGAAATGAAGGGCATCCAAATAGGTAAAGAAGAAATCAAACTGCCACTGTTTGCTGATGATATGATTGTATACCTAGAAAACCCTAAAGACTCCTCCAAAAAACTCCTAGAACTGATAAAAGAATTCAGCAAAGTTTCCAGATAAAAGATTAATGTACACAAATCAGTAGCTCTCCTGTATTCCAACAGTGACCAAGCTGAGCATCAAATCAAGAACTCAATCCCTTTTACAATAGCAGGAAAAAAAAATGCTTAGGAATATATCTAACCAAGGAGGTGAAACACCTTTACAAGGAAAACTGCAAAAACTGCTGAAAGAAGTCATAGACAACACAAACAAATGGAAACACGTCCCATGCTCATGGATGGATAGAATCAATGTTGTGAAAAAGACCATACTGCCAAAAGCAATCTACAAATTCAGTGCAATTCCCATCAAAATATCACCATCATTCTTCACAGAACTATAAAAAAAATCCTAAAATTCATATGGAACCAAAAAAATAGCCTGCATAGCCAAAGCAAGACTAAGCAAAAATAACAAATCTGGAGGCATTGCATTACCTGATTTCAAACTATACAATAAGGCCATAGTCACCAAAATAGCATGGTACTGGTATAAAAATTGGCACATAGACCAATGGAACAGAAAAGAGAACCCAGAAATAGAGCCAAATACTTACAGCCAACTGATCTTTGACAAAGCAAACAAAAACAAAAAGTGGGGAAAGGACACCCCATTGAACAAATGGTGCTGGGATAATTGGCAAGCCACATCTAGGAGAATGAAACTGGATCCTCATCTCTCACCTTATGCAAAAATCAACTCAAGATGTATCTAGGACTTAAATCTAAGACCTGAATCTATAATAAAAATTCTAGAATATTGTAAGAATCCTTTTAGAGATTGTCTTAGGCAAGGATTTCATGACCAAGAGCCCAAAAGCAAATACAATAGAAACAAAGATAAATAGCTGGGACTTAATTAAACTAAAAAGCTTTTGCACAACAAAAGGAACAGTCAACAGAGTGAACAGACAACCCACAGGATGGGAGGAAAATCTTTACAATCTATACATCTGACAAAGGACTAATACCCAGAAGGTACAATGAACTCAAACAAATCAACAAGAAAAAAAAAATCCTATCAAAAAGTGGGATAAGGACAGGAATAGACAATTCTAAAAGGAGATAGACAAGTGGCTAAGAAACATATGAAAAAATCTCAACATCACTAATGATCAGGGAAATGCAAATCAAAACCACAGTACGATATCACCTTCTGCAAGAATGGCCATAATCAAAAATTCAAAAAATAGTAGATGTTGATTTGGATGCAGTGAACAGGGAACACTTCTACACTGCTGGTGGGGATGTAAACTAGTATAACCACTGTGGAAAACAGAGTGGATATTCCTTAAAGAACTAAAATAGAACTATCATTTGATCCAGCAATCCCACTACTGGGTATCTACTCAGAGGAAATGAAGTCATTATATGAAAAAGATACTTGCACACACATGTTCATAGCAGCACAATTAGCAATTGCAAAAACGTGGATACAACCCAAATTCCTATCAATCAACAAGTGGATAAAGAAACTGTGATATATATATATATATACACACACACACATGTATACATATCATATGTATATATATGTATACACACACATATACATACAGTGGAATACTACTCAGCCATAAAAAGAAGTGAATGGCATTGGCAGCAATCTGGATGAGATTGGAGACTATTATTCTAAGTGAAGTAACCCAGGAATGGAAAATCAAACATCATATAATCTCACTCATAATTGGGAGCTAAGCTATGAGGATGCGAAGGCATGAGAATGATACAATGGACTTTGGGGACTCAGAGGGAAAGGGTGGGAAGGGGGTGAGGGGTAAAAGACTACAAACTGGATACAGTGTATACTGCTTGGGTGATGGATGCACCAAAATCTCACCAGTCACCACTAAAGAACTTACTAATGTAACCAAATGCCACCTGTTTTCCAATAACCTATGAAAATAAAAAAAAACTAAAAAATAAAACTTAGGTTTCCTGGAAGCATAGTCCTTAGTGAGAGGAGGCGGTGATGGTAAACAAACTAGAATAAAGGCCAGACAAAGCCTACTCAGAGATAAAATAAACACACTTGAATAAAGGCTGAAGAAAACCTACCTAGGGGTAGCTGAAGAGATAGAAGCTTTTGAAAACAGATTTTATCCACTTCACAGCATTACATAGTCTTGCCCTCGTTTTCACCTTTTTGCCCAGTTGTCCTCATTGTAATTCAGTAATGTAATTTTGTACCTTAGTAATGTAGATAATATGTTCCCTGGTTAGTAAGCTCAAAGATGACAAGAAGCTGTGTTTTTGACCCTTCATTCTTCCAAGATTGTTTATCAGCCTAATTGAGTTTTTGGCGGAGGCTAACAAGGCCTCATCCAGTGATAAGACAGCAGGCCATTGCTTATTTATTTCTAATAAATGGCTAGGGATAGGTTATTTTGCCAAATAGCATTTAGCATGCCTATTCTCCCTGCTGTATCCCCAGTGCTTCTTCAAGATTCATTTCCAAAATGGTAACTAGAGTTTACAAAGAAACAAAGTTCCAGAAGTTAATCTCATCCATTCACCTTTTAGAAGTAGAAGTAAAAAGTTAATGAGGTAATTAACCTTTTGTTTTTGTATGTGATAAAGACCTGAAACTTGGCATGCTTAAGTAGAAGGTGGTCTTCATTTGCTATCTATTAAAATCTTCTCTTTCTCCAAAAGAGACAAAGGGTATCTTCATACTGAATCCATGCATTTCTGATTTTTCTTCCTCAATGGTTCGTCAGAACACCTCACACTCAGCTAGTGTATGCATGGATAGAGCATTGTTTGAGACTGAAACTGATATATGAATAGGAAAATGATGTTTAGTTTGTAGGAATGTAAAGTCTGACATTGTCCATCTTTATCATTTAAGTTTGATTTTGGCATTTTCCACTCTCTAACTTCCTGTCTTCCATATTCTTTCTCCACCTCCTACCCTACCCCCACTTCCAACCAATAAGCTTATATCAATAAATATTTGTTGGCTAGTAACTATATGCCTCAGATACTGCTCTCATCTTTGGGGGATACAAAAATAAAAGCTGGAGACGTAAGCATTTTCTCAAAAATACTCATAATCTGGATGGGAAGACACACTGTGCACACTGTGGTCTGCAGAGTACTGGTATCTGCTGTGATAGTCATATGATCAATATCCTGTGGGAGTTTGAAGAAGGGCCTCGAGACTTAGCCTAGGAATATTAGGGAAGGCTCAGCAAGGAGGTAAAACTTGGCTGAGGTTTAAAAAATGAGTAAGAGGTGTTCAGATAGGGAACAAGTGGAACAGAGAGAAGGATTGAAGAGGTCCAGGGGGAGCTAGAATTTATAAGTCGTGTTACATGGTGGCATGCCAGACCCCTGTTAACTTCAATAGGATGGCACCAGGTTCAAGCAGCTGAAGAAGAGACCCAGAGCCAGCACACAAAACACAGGGCTTTATTAGTGGGAAACTTACATACGGAGTGGTCCAGTGACAGTGGGATGGAACAGAAGAACCACCAACCCACTTGTAAAAAGCATGCAGGTTACATAGTATTTTCACTTAACACCCTCCCACTAACAACCTCCACCTGGCAATTTTTATTTAACCCAAGGCAAAGGCCTCGATCCCCTGAATGGCCTGTGTTCCACTGGATGGGCTGAGGGTTCAGATGTTCCACATAGATAAGTAATGAATCTCCAGTTGGCCACTCTCAATTCCTTAGTTTGGAACTCTGAACACACATTCAGGGTATCTGCCATACAGGCTCATTCTCAAGGTGTGCTTAAGTTAGGACTGTCAAATGCATCTGCCATGCGCATGGTAGAAATCAAGGCTTTCTCACGTGGGAATGGCAGCAAAAAAGGTTTTTAGGAGGTAAGGAGATGCCTTTTCTTTAAGGACCCTTGGATACTGGGCTAAAGGAAGTCCTTCTCTATTGAAGGTTGTGGAGAGATGATAAACGCTGGGGAGTGAAATACTGTCCATTTAAAGAGAACATTCTGGCAGCTGTGTGGAACGTTAAATATAGGTGGGTCGTGAAACACAGGGCTGAGAGCTGTGTAATTGCTAATTTAACCTGGAGAGATGTGACTGGAGACAAGCTAAGGCGGCGGGGAGACCCTGGACTGGGCACAGAAGATGAAGGAGAGGCCTTGGTCTAGGGTGACTGGACAGTTGGCTGAATATAGTGCCATTCACTGAGAGGAGATAAATCAGTGGAGTAGAGAAGCCTGGGACCTGCATTGAGGGTGTGTTTTTGAGGTGTCCGTGGGAGTGGGACAGTTTATAGATAAGAAGCTTGGCAGAAACATCTGGGTTGGAGAAAGCATTATTAAGCGTTCACTTCACCTGATATTTGAAGCTTGAAAATGCATTAGTCGACCCATGGATGGAGTGTAGAGTGTTTTCTTATCTTGAAATGTAAGATTAAGTTGGTTGAGTCTGTCTTTGCTCCTTTTACTCTGCAAAAGAATTCTTGAAAGGTCACCTGAGTCAAAAGGCTGTTAAGATAACACCTAGGTGCTCTCATGATGACATATGAAGTGGGAATTGGGAAGCTTTGGGGTAAGGTACACTATGTCATTAGCTTTGTATCTTTATGTTAGTATGCAAAGCTATTTTAATTTTGATGGTTGTAACATACATTCCAATTTTACTGTATTCCTGAATTATCCGAGAACGTGCATTTTTCCCTCCAACATTTTCAGATTAGTAATTTAGATTAATTAAAATATTCCTTAACTATTAATATACTTGAATGTGTTAGGACACTACTGAAAGCAGAAAGTTACAAACCGGATGTGATTATCGACATTATGTTTTGTTGTTAGGATTCTGTGTTTGGGGACCGGGTTAACATGGAGATAAGGAGAGTTTTACAACCAGCAACCATCTTCCTGCTCATGTAAACTGGACATCTAAGGAGCTAACTTTTCTTTTTCTTTCTTTCTTTTTTTTTTTTCCTGAGGTGGAGTCTTGTACTGTCACCCAGGCTGGAGTGCAGTGGCACAATCTCGGCTCACTGCAACCTCCGTCTCCCAGGTTCAAGTGATTCTCCTGCCTCAGGCTCCCGAGTAGCTGGGATTACAGGTGTGCACCACCACACCTGGCTATTTTATTTTTATTTTTAGTAGAGACAGGGTTTTACCATGATGGCCAGGCTGATCTTGAACTCCTGGCCTCAAGTGATCTGCCCACCTTGGCCTCCCAAAATGTAACTTTTCTTTCCCACTAAATATAGTAGATATCTCTTAATTTTTTAGGAGGCAAAAGAAAGAGAAGCGAGCAGTTTTTCATAATTATATAGGATGATTCAGGTGGCACATGGCATAGCCTTTCTGCTTTACCTTATTATCTGATTGTACGCATCGTGATAAGTGCAGGAGAGTGTGAATGTCTCAAATGTCTCAAGCTGTCTGGAAGAAAAGTAGTTTTTAAGCTTCATTTTCTGGAGAAGAATCTTAAACAGCCTCATAGCCAATTCTATGAACTGAAAGTAATTCAAGCCATGGCCTAAGGGTAAGACCAAAAGAGGTCAGATGTTAATGATTTATTAAATGATTGTATTTTCTGTTGGAACATGCTTTTCACAGATAAGGAAAAGTGTAATTTTTTTAATGTTGTTTGTCATATGTTTTAAAGAGAATTTGTCTAGTATTGACATATCACTCATTCTTCACATGATGTAAGACCTCACATTAAGGGCTGAAAGAGGCTCTTTACTTCCTTGGGTAAGAAAGGCTTTTGACAGCTGTACAGTGTGGAAAACTGGCCCATAGTTTATGACCAGATCTGGATTTGGAAAAGACCAGGGCCGAGAGTTATAACATATGGAACTTATTTGGGAAGTAATTCTTAGCTATGACTAAGAGCCTGTGCTCAAACGCCTGGGAAAGTTTGAAAGAAAATCTTTGCAAAATAAATCATATCTCTTGTTTGCTAAATTGTAGGACGTAGATAACTTTTGGGTATTCATGGACTTTGTATTCTGTGTTAAAGCTCTAAAGTTTTCTCTTTCAGTTAATTTTTTTTTTGGTTTTATTTTTAACAACACTGTGATTAAATTTGCTGGCTTATTCAATCAAGGAATTATTTATTTAAAAAGATTATTTTCTCTTCCCCCTAATTCTCAGAGATCCTTAAAATGTTCACATCCAAACAGACACTAAGGGGCTAGTTTATAGTAAAGATATACTGTGTGTGTGTATTAGCTTCTGGTGCTGTTTTTTCTTAGCTGTACAAGTTCCAATTACCATGTTTCCTGTGTTTATTTATATCGAGATAGCATGTGACATAAACATCCCAAGTAAGTGTTGTTCCAGGGAAAGTGAACTAGGAAAAGGTAATATTATGATGCTTACGTTTCTGAAGGAATATTCCTTTTTTCTCATTTCTCAAACTTTAATTGGGTAGAATTATGTATGAGAAATGCTCCTCCTTTAATGATCTCTTCTTAACCTTACTGTAGCCGTGCTGATCCTTACCTCATCATTATATTATTTCAAGTAAGCATTTCATAAGCCAAGAACAATCATCATTATTCTACTGAAGTTGACTTTTTATCACACACATAAACATGGCATCAGCACAATACTGAAACCGTGTTTGGGGATGCAATAGACAGTGCGTATCACTTTTCAAAAAAGATTTTAATAGGGAAAATAACTACTTTTGAAGATATAGAAATTAGAAAATATGAAAATAATACGTAGGCTACGTGGTTCCACTGTAACTTAAGGCTCCTAGGCTACAGATCTATACAGGATATCACTGTACTGAATACTGTAGGTGATTGTAACACAATGGTAAGCATCTGTGTATCTAAACATATTAAACACAGAAAAGGTAATGTGTTGTACTGCAATGTCACAACAGCTATGACATCACTAGGTGACAGGAATTCTTCAGCTCCATTATAATCTTATGGGACCTCTGTAGTATATGCAGTCTTGTTGACCATATATACCGTGTTGTGGTCATAATGTGGCTGTTATGTGTTATGTATTTATTCAAAAAACACCTATATTAAACAACAAATAGTGGTAAAGAGTGCTAACTATACAAGATCTCTTTTATCTAGTTATTAAAGCATGTCTTTTAAACATGTATCTGTTAACCTATAACATTTCCAATTAAATATGTCTTTTCCAATATTGAAAAGATTAAATTCATTTGTACTTCTTTATACTTAAACTTAATTTTACACATGTAAGGCTTTCTGGTTTCTGAGTTTCCCTAACAACATTGGCACAAACTTCTACTCTAGCACTGGTGACAGTTTTAGCTTCACAAGTCTATCTGGGAGATAGTAGCTTTCTTTTTTTTTTTTTTTTTTTTTTTTTTGAGATGGAGTCTCGCTCTGTCACTCAGGCTTGAGTGCAGTGGCAGGATCTCAGCTCACAGCAACCTCCGCCACCCAGGTTCAAATGATTCTTATGCCTCAGTCTCCCAAGTAGCTTGGATTACAGACGTGTGCCACCATGCCTGGCTAATTTTCATATTGTTAGTAGAGACGGGGTTTTACCATGTTGGCCAGGCTGGTCTTAAACTCCTGACCTCAGGTGATCCACCCACCTCGGCCTCCGAAAGTGCTGGGATTACAGGTGTGAGCCACTGCGCCTGGCCAGGAGATAGTAGCTTTCTATGGTGCTAGACTGTGAAAGATTCTAGGGATGAACCTGAACACTGAATGAATGATCACAAAATGTTAGCTATAAACATTATTTGCTAACAAGAGCAACAGCATTCATGGTGCATGCCATTTATATTTAGTCATGTATTCATAACATTTCAGTCAGCAATGAGTCACATACATGATATTGATCCCATAAGATTATAATGGAGCTAAACAATTCCTATCGCCTAATGACATCATAGCTGCCTTAACATCATAGTGCAATACATTACGTGTTTCTGGTGATGCCAGTGCAAACAAATCTGTGCTGCCCATCTGTGGAAGTATGGCACATAGAATTGTGTGTAATACGTAGCACTTGATCATGATAATGAACACCTTTGTTATTGGTTTATGTATTACTATACTTTTGATCATTATTTTAGAGTGTATACTTCTACTTATAATGAAGTTAACCATAAAACAGTCTCAGGCATGTTCTTCAGAAGGCATTCCATGTATACAATGTTTGCACGATGACAAAATCGCCTAACGATCCATTTCTCAGAACACATGCCCATTGTTAAGCAATGCGTAATTACGTATTTGGCTCCAGGCAGTGGTATGTTGGTAAAAAGTTAACCACTGGCACTCAGGTGCATGTTGTATGCACATGCATGCATACATGTGCCTATGTATGTGTGAGAAATCTGATTGGTAGTGCTTGCTGATCTTCACTGAGTAAATCCTCCCACCTTGGCTGATTTCAACACAAGGTCACTTACCCAGTGCAGGTTGGGAAGAGATGAGCACAAAGGTTCTGTGAGCCACTATGAGCCTGCTTTAACACACTGCTGGCCCCAGACCTAATTTTCCTTAATTTCTCCCTGTATTAGTTAGATCATTCTCTGCTTTATTTATGTACATCTGTATCCTGCATAGTTCCTTCCTTCTTTCCCTCTTCTCTCCTGTCCTCCTCTTTATTCCCATTCTCCCCCATTAATGCACAACTACAATAAGTAATTTAAGAAATTGCATATATATTGGGATATCTTCCATTTTTCTTAAACTTTTAGCAATCTGCTATTATCTAAATACTGAACAATTATGATTAAATTATATTAACGTTCAGCTACTAAAATGCAATTGCTATAAAATATGACTGGGAATTTATTTAATGCATTTTATTTGCTTTTAAACTTGCAAAGGCTATCAGAAGTTTGCTTAAATTCACGAATGAATAATTTATAACAGATGAATGATTTTATTTTTTCAACCCAAAGATACTTAGTAGGGAATACCAAGAAGAATAGAGCAAAATTAGCCAGAAGAAATAGCATTAAGCGGGAGGAAGGGAGTGATATAAATTATCACTTTGCTGAAGCTCCCTCCCCTTGCTCCCATACACAAAGCCACTTTCCCCCACTCTAAGTTAGGGGTTAGAACATGTAAAAAGAAATATTTTTGAGGCCCTAATTAGCTCAGCTTGGGATGTACAGTGTCTCTGATTTTTGAGGTGGGAGAATGGGAGGAGGTGTATTTTCATGAACATGAGGATATTGACATAAATGGGGCAACTGTGTTACAGGAATATTTTTGGCCATCTTCTATAGTACTAACAAACATAGGAACATCACTGGAGTGGTCTAATTGTGCCACCAGAGGTACAAAGTTCAGCAGACCCTGGTGTTTCCTTAGAATGTGCAAAGGTAGAGGACTGGCTGAAGTAACCTTACCAGTATCCCCGAAGAACATTTTTACCTAGTCAAATGCAGGAGCGAGTATTTAACCTGTTGGAATGAAACAACTTCAGGGTGCAACATTTCTTAAATCTCTCTCTGAGAATACAGGTTCTGAATGACATAATTTAAATATCTTCCCTGTGTGACCTTTGAGTTAATATAGTCTTTTAAAAAATTCTATAAAATTGCTTTCTTAAATGCATACATTTTGGTCAAAATCAAAAAAGTATTTTTTTAAAAGTGAATGTATATGCAGGTCATTTGGAGTAATTATTTTAAGCAGCTTTTAAGATGTCAATCCTAATTTGACCTTTCACATATCTTGATATTTATAGTTGAAAAGAAGTTTGACTTTGTTTTCTGACTGTTTTTAGCCTCCAATATTAAAGGGTTATAAATGAAAAAGCAGTAATCAGGCTGGTGATAAGTAGATAAGTGGGGAGGCAATATGCTATGGTTAAGTCTGGTATTTGAAAATGTTTCCACAATGCTTAAATGTTTAAAAAGTGTTCTTACTTTAATCCCCCATTAGAGATTGCTGGGTAGAAAGGAATAAAACAAAAGTAGTTTCAGAACAAGAAGAAGGATACAATAAATAACCTACCTTTGTGGTTCAAATAACTTAGTACACAAATAGTTTCATTTGTTACCACCTAGAGTTATGATGTTAATTACATCACAGTGGATTATATGAAATTTTACAATCTACTCTCCTCTCCCACTTCCTCTGCTAGATTCTGTGAAAATGGTCAATTCCTTCTTGGTTGAATGGTTTTCCATTCCTCCACCTTATGAGTATAGATGGTTTTATTTAAAAAATAGCAAACTTTAATTTGATTTATACATTCAGCAGTAGTTATAAACTCTAGAAGTAGAGAGGATTGCTTGCCATTTTACCCCTATTAACTGCTCTTCTACAGTTAATAAGCTTTGACATCAAGTATGTGCTAGTGAGATTTCACTCTTATACTAAAACTCCAATAGCAGCTTCCTAATTCATTGAAAAAAAAAAATCTAGAGCACTGCAATTGGCCTACTCAAAAGAAAGAATTTAATGGGCAATTAATGCTTTATTAATAAGTTTTTATGATCATTAGACATAAAGTAAAAAATTTAAGCTTTATAAGCAGGTCATGAGATAAGGACATATTATCATCTTTATTATATAGAAAAGAAAACTTAGTTTGAGTAACTCGATCAAGATTGCATAGTTGTCATGGTTAGGCCAATTAATTAAAAATAAATGGGAGTATTCTCCTGAGAGTGTATTGCTTCTGCTTATCTTCTGAAAAAGAAGAGGCTATTCATATAGCACAATTCTCCAGAAACTTAAATTAATTTTCCCAATATATTTCCATAGGAAAAGTATTATTGCTGGTAAAAATGGAGAAAGATGAAAGTTATATTAAATTCAAGTAAGAGTTAGATCTAACTGATGAGGTCCAATGGGGTGGGATTCATAGTGGAACTCTGTCACTAAGTAGATCCAAAACATTCAAATGCTGAAGCAGCAAGTGATGTTCAAGTCAGAATTAATTGAATGACTAGTATCCAGATAGCCTTACATAGCATTTGTTTTTAGATGACAATATGTTTTTTTCAGTCGTTTGCTCACATTAAAGTGTATGAAGTAAAATGTATTCAGTCCTTGACTTCTGATTACTTATTAATGCAAGACGTGCTCGTGTATCCATCCTCTATACCTCGTGTGAGTTTTGGCCATTGAGATCTAGTTTAGTGGTGCTGTGGATTTGCTGACCTAGAGAAGAATGTCTATATTATGTAGCTATAGAGAGTTAAATTGGCCAGTACCAGGGAGTGAACCCCAGGCTAGCACCCCAGTTCCCCACCCCTTGCCAGAACTTCTTTCTAAGAAGCTATTGAGGAAGGAAGAACTAGATACAGTTTGGGACAAGGCAGAGAAGAGATGCTTGCTTGTAATCAATCACAAATTAGAACTGTGATGTGATTTTCAGCTGTGATGTGATTCAGTTGCAAATATGAATGGGAAAATAACCCATTCTTTTACGTCGAAGACGGTGTAGATAGCTTCTGCATCGATTATGATCATTTCACTTATTATTACCTACCTTTGTGGTCTTTCCACTTTGTATTGATTGTTTATATTGACATCTCAACAGGAAATTATTTTTGCAATGAACTGTACCATTTATGTTTTTTGTTGTAAATAGTGTAGCGTATTATAGCCTTAAGCAATTGCTTTAAATAGTACTTTAGAATATCAGAAGTATTGCTTTAAATAGTACTTGAGAATATATAACTAAATCTTTGCATCAAAACTGAGTGTTTTATTGCTTTGAAAATGAGAGGTAAGGAATTGTAATTTTTCTGACATTCGGATGTGTTAGCTAATGAGTTGCAAGATAATGGGACATATAGTCATTAATTAGTGATGAGCTGTGACTGGCACCAACATCACTGGATTTTAATCAAAACCTGGAAAGGGAAGTAGTGTAAAAATAAAATTGTTAAGAGACATACCTTTCAGATTTATTTTATTCCATTGCTACTTTTTTTAATGAATAAGTGTGGCAAGATTATCAGCAGTGAAAAGCAAGCACTGAAAATTCCTATCAGATAGCACTTGAAAATGCATGATCCATAGAAAATTATAATTCATGATTATGTGGGGGAAAAAAAGGAAATCCAAACATATTTGGAGAATCATTCTTCAAACCACATAAAAGCGTTTCTAGCCATTACTTTTGAATGATTTATGTGCACCCCCTTGTGGCTATTTATTAGAACCACTTGAAATAGCAAAAGAAAGTGACAGGAAACTTAATTGCCTGACTTAAATAACCTACCCACAGTAAAATGCATGGTAAATGCTATATTGTAAAGTATTACCAAATATCAGATTTGCTTTTCTTCTACTGAAAATAAGTGAAATCACCAGTAATTGTTTTTTACTTTAAATGTAAACCAATATCTATAAAAATAAGTTGTTCAAAGCCAAGGTTTAGGTAATGGCTAGTAATTATAAGTTAATTGTTTCTTAATTACCATAATAAGGTATCTTCAATAATTTATCTTATCAATATTTAGGGAGAGTCTTAAAATTGATTTTGTATTTTTTCTAAAGCATCTTAGTAAAGTCATGCAAAGTTGCACATTCCACAGATACTGTGGGATCCTGAATCTCCTGAACTCTGACTTGATTTTTCCCCCAAGTATTACCCTTTTGGAAGGAATTTCATCAAGCCTGTTTTGTGAATCCGGATGAAAGAGTTCCATATGAGCAAAAATTGCATTTCTCTACATTTATTTTTTAACTTTGCAAGGTTTGTCACCATCGTTGTACTCTAATTCACATTTTAAATAAGGGTTTCCTACCCTTTATATGACATTTTCCTTTCTTATGCAGTAGCAACAGTAACTCTTTTAATCCTACCAAAATTTTAACACCTTCTTGACTTCACACTTGGATTGCTTTAGAATTGGAGAGTTTAATCCATATGAGTGACCACTGTGTAGGGATAAAAGTCATGTATTCCCAGGGGGAATGTATAAAGATGAGGCTCACAAGCAGCCAAATTGGTTTGTAAATCCACTTAGTGCCCTTTGAGTGCTGGCATTTTCCATTTTGATCTCTTGAATTTAAATTTACATATTGTGAACAGCAGCCACTGACTGCACACAAAAGTGATAACATTTTTCAGAGGTAGAGCCAGGCATTTGTTATAATGGTTTATGGAAAAATGTAGGGTTATCTACTACTGCTAGGCCTCTGGATAAGTTCTGTTATTAATCTGGATTTCAATTTCTAGCTTTGAATAACTACATTTTAAATCATTTGGGGGAAACTATAAGACTGCTTAGGACAGTTATGAATACAGAGTAGACATTCAATTAATTCTTTGAGGAAGTTAACATTTTTTGAGAGCCTTCCATGTGCCAAATCTATGCTAGTGATTTTTTTCAAAATAATTTATTTTGCTTTTAATTTTTTATAAAAACCTTAAGAAGTACAGGGATGAAACACTGTGTGTTGTCAGTTTTGGCACTTAGATTCAAATGAAGCTGAATCTGTCTTCAACATTCATGTTTTTAATACATTCCAGATCATTTTTTATATGTTTGACTTCATTACCCATAAAATATTGACTTTGATCTCTATATTGTGAAGACCTTAATGTAGTATTTGACGCATTAGAAACACTCAAGAAATCATTTCTGTTCTTCTTTATCACAGTGTTGGATGTTTTCACACCCTTCTTTTTTTTCTGTTTAATACCTTTGCCACTTATTTATTTCTTCCTTCGGTTTAACATTAATAGAACGGGAGAAGAAGAAAAAAAAATTAAAGCAAATCCCAAAACAAAGGAAAAATAACCCAAGAAATGTGGAAGAAATAGAGATAGGAAATTATACTTAGGCCACAGGGTGGCTGTTAATTATTCTGTTTTGTTATATCATCTGGCTTTTGCTTTATTCTGAGGTCATATGTATGTAACAGTGAGAGAAGGGGTAGATGTAAACCATTGGATGTGAATGTGAGTGCCAAGGTCTTAGGATATGACATCAGCCCATCTACTCCCTTTCACAATCCTTTCCTTCCCAATAAAAAACATCCATTCATATTTATTAGTTCTGCCAATGTGAGATGGGATTTCTGACATAATATTTCTTTGAGTCTTTCCATGACATCAGATGTAACTGGACCAAAGTGAAATTAATCATTGCCTTTGTTCTTTTTCTACCATGCATACTCCCTACCTCATTTGCCCCAATTCTGATACGTTACTAAAGTTCCAGTGGCTGAGGCCAAAACCTTAGTTTTTCCATTGATTCCTCTCTCTTTCTCCCTCTACGCAATTTGTCATTGAGTCCCTTTGTGTCTTCCATAGAACTGTCTCTGGAATTCCTGCTATGCATCTGTCAATACTACAGAAACCCGTCCTCGTTCCTTATCACTTCAGATTTGAATTTCTCTCCCAGCCATTTAGCTGGCTTTAAATACATTAGCTCATGCTTGTGAAGGACTTATTGCAATTTCCAGCATAAAGTAAACATTCAATAAATAGTAGGCTTTATTGTTGCTATTACTCCAAGTTACACTAAAGTACTTATGATACTGTCTTTCCCCTTATGCAAACTTAACTTTAAAGGTGAAGTCAGCTATGTGTCGCATCTGTACAATCTGGATAGGGGTGTGTGTGTGTGTGTGTGTGTGTGTGTGTGTGTGTGTTTATGTAATTAGGGTTTTAATGAGGGCATAGAGGTTTTAGAGAGAGAATTAAAAGTGAGCTATTTTACTACTATTTCCAATAATCTCTGCGCAGTAGGACGCCTGCACAGTCTATCTGGAGGTATGTCTGTCTGAGCTCAGAAATGGGGATTAGGTGATGGATGCCAGTGGTATCTCCAGTTGGCCCTCATTGTCTGAGACAAGATTTTTTGAGTATTAGTCCACTTTCTATGCTTTCACAGCATAGGATTTTGGTCTTCTTTTCAAGATCTGTCATTCTCATTTTTCTGCAAATCGAGGATTAACAGGATCATGGATGGTGGTGTCAACACTCTAGTTTTTATTTTTGTATATTATCTGTGTGCATTTGTGTATTATGGACTTTAAGAAATTAAACTTGACTAGAGATAAACCAGTTTGATGAAAATAAGGAAAGTGACACTTTTATTGAAATGCACATATTTTGATATAATTTCAAACTTACAAAAAGGTTAGAAAAATAGTACATGGAACACTTGTATACCTTTTAACCTATTTTAAAGTAGGATAATATATTTTAAAAATAAGAGTTTTTCTCTCTTTATCCTGGCATTTGCTATTCATGTAATAGATTATGTTCAGTTGTCATAGTGGTAGAACAAATTACAAATTTTGTAAACTGGGCCTCCTCTTTATTTTAATGCTTTCTAAAGGCTGTTTTTTAAATCAACATTCCCCTCCAGAATAATGGTATCCTTAGAAATTTCTGTCTGCTTCATTCAGTTGCTTGTCTTCATATCTTGCACTCCCATTGTAGTAGTCTTACAGATCAATATTAAAAGATTTATTTGTTTTAAAGTTTAAGTAAATCTCAATGTGGAATTTGGGGCTAAAATATGTTTTTATTGAAATGGAATCAAATACTATTTTAGTCAGGTTGGAAACATTATGAGAATGTTCAGGCAAACCTCAATTCCTCATTTTGAGGAATCTAACTAAATAGGGGGAAAAATAAGCCTAATTTTGCAGCTGTAGAATTCTACCATTCTAATGGAAAAATGGAAGAGCTTTTATATAGTTTAATTTTAAAATGATGCTTGAACTGGCTACATTAAACCAGTGTAATTATAGGTATTTGTAAATTTAATACCCAATGTGCTATTTCTTAGTTAAGTCTTAGAAGAAGAAATTTAAGTATTCAAACTAAGATTTCACCACAACAAGTACTTATTTTCGTATTTTTCACATTGTTGTTAGGATCAAGGGAAATAATATGCGAAAACAGCTTAATTATATAGTAGAAGAACTGTATATAACATGTAAGTTGTTTTTATAGATGCAAACAAAAACAAAAACAGTCTATTTGATACATTGGATAAAGTAGCCATTTTTTCAATGTTGTTGGCATGAAATTATGCAAGATTTAATATATGTGCATTTTTTATTTCAGATCCAAAACGCTAACGATGTATTAATTGCACCACTTGAGAAATTTCGAAAAGAACAGATAGGTGCAGCAAAAGTAAGTGTTACATTTTATTATTCTTCAGTTATTCTCCTGATAATTAAAGATGACATAATTTCAGATGTTAACATTTTTGAAATTAGAATGACCTTTTAAAAGATTTTGTACATCATTTAAAACTTTTTGCATAGAGACTTAACAAAGACTGGACTTCTTTTAGACATAAAAGATGTTATTATTCTACTGAGTAGATAAGAAGCATGTTATAAATGAGTTCTTCCTTTCCCAAAAATTATAGGAAATTAATGATTTTGAAGACACGGTGAAATTATGAGGAGCTCTGTTCCTAAATAAAATAAAAATTAGGCACAGGGCACATTGAAAATTCAAGCAGTGATTATATGAGAACTTTTAATATTCTTTGTATTTTTTATAAATAAAAATATGTGTTTCTGAAAAAATTTAGAAATGTTTGTCACAAACCCTTTTTGTTAATGTTTAATTGACTATGGACCAATTAAATTTTTTCTGATTCTCATCATCTGAAATTTGCCTGTATCCTCATTCTTAGAGCCATATTTTAACCACTTGTGCAACATCATGGGAGCATATAAAACTTAAGGTTTCTAAAATAGAACTAATCATCTCCCATCCTTCCCTCATTCTTACCCTGTTTGAGTTTTCCTTTTAGTCAATGTCGTATCCCTTCCCCATTTGAGCAGTGCTGTCCATTCTAATGCAGAATTATTTCTACTCCTTTCCTCTTTACGTCTGTCTGAAATATTTGAAATAGCCTACTAATTGATCTCCACACCCTCCTTCTAACATATTAACAAATTTTCACCATCTCCAATTATGTCATTCTTCCAATGATGAAACCTTCTGTGGTTCTGCTTGACAGTTTAATTTTGATAATGAAAGCTTTCCACAACTTGGAATTTTGAACTTTGCTACCCACCAGCAGGCACAGTTTTCTGTTCACCCGGCTCTGTATATACCTGACACTAATCATGTCTTTGCCCAAACTTTTCCCTCTCTCTGGAATACTTCTTACCCTTTACTTTTTGAAGTCTTGCCAGACTTCATATCCCAGCACCAGAAACAACCCTTCCTTATATAGGCCTTTCTCATGCAGATGTTCCCCTTCCAGAACCTATTTGGTTTCCTTTTCTTAGGATTGAATAGCCTTTACACATATTCCCCATAAGAAGTTAACACAGTTTGCCTTGATTAGAATTTTATGTGCATTTCTCCACCAATTGTGAGCAATTTTCGAGTGAAGGACTAAAATCAGAACCATTTTTATGTTAATTAATTCAGCAAATATTTATCAGTCTCATGGTTGGCTCACACGTGACATGCATGGTGTTTGATAAGATGAACGGATGTAGCTGTAAACAAGTCAGAGATGATTCCTGTGTGTATGTCCCTATTATCTTTCATGAAAAACAGACATAGAAGTAATTACAAGTGTATTGGGGATTGCGATGCAAAAGTGCTTCACAAGGGCATCATTAATGGATCTGAACTTGTCCAGGAAATCAACAAATGTCTTCTGCAAGAAGTGTTAGGTAGAGACCTACGTCATGAGGAAGAAAAAGGGGACACAATGGTGGGAAGGGAAAAAAACTTACAAATATTCCAGAAAAGGGAATGGAATATGGGAATGAATGAAGGTTTTCTTGGTCGGGGAGGGAAGAGCCTGGCATTTTAGTGGAAGAAAGTCCAGTATGTTTGGAGCACAGTGGACCCTGGAGGTAGAGGCCACGTGTGCAGCTTTATAAATGACTCACAGTATTTTACTCCCTAGCCTAAGGGCAGTGATAAGCAATAGAAACGTAAGTGGGAGAGTGATATCATATTTGTATTTTAAATGTCATTCTAGATGCATATCATGCATGGATAGGAGGCCAGACTACCTGGGCAAACCAGTTTTGGGGCTGGCAGTTAGTGGCTTTAGATAAGGAGGGTGAAAGTAACTGGGGACAAGGAGATGTATGAAAGCTATTTTAGAGGTGAAATGACAACAGTAAGAAGTGGGTTACATACTGGAAAGTTAGTAGGAGAAGGTTTCGGGAATGTCCCTCTGGATTTCAGGTTGCATAACTGGGTGGTTGTTGAACCACCTACTGATATAGGCCACATTTATGTTGGATGACAATGATGGTAAGTTGAGTTTTTAGTCATGATGAGTGAAATTTAGGCTCCTCTGAGACATCCATGTGATGTTGAGTTAGCAGGTGTGTATTCGGATCTGAATTAGAAACAAACATTTGGGAATTCTATCTTCTAGGTGCTTATTAAAATCATGGGAGTAGATTAGATCCCTTTGAGAAAGAATAGAGTGAGACGGGAAGAGGACCCAGGATGTTTATAACCAAAGAACTCTCTCAACACTTGATGTTTGGGGAAAGAAAGTTAGGAAAGGAGGCTGAGAAGGAAGGAACAAAAGAAAGAAGAAATGACAAGAACATGGTATCCTAGCACAAGGAGAGTCTTTTCAAAATTAATAATAGCTAATTTTTATTGGCGGGGACTTTCAGTGAAAATCTGTGACCTAATTAAATAGTCACAGCAAACTGTGAGGTGTGGGTACTAGTGTTATACCTGCTTACAAATGAGGAAAATGATGGGGTGACTTGCACCAAATCACAGAGCTGATCTGAAAGAGTCAACATGTTCCCCAGATGAAGCCATTTTATTTCAGAGCCTTGACTTAACAAGCTTTCACTTCATCAATGGTGTTTTTATAAAAAATTGAATTAGAGCATTGTGAAAAATTCTTTCCCTAGTACACATATTCCAAGTTTTCTAGCCCCCAAAAAGAGTAAGTTTCATCTGTTTGGGAAATCTTTTTCTTATTTGGAGGTTCAAGTTATCTTACAGTTGCAGTGGCAGGAGTCTTAATAACATTTTATTTTGTTTTGTAAACATCTCAATTGCAGAACAGATCAACTGAGAACACCCGACAGTATACTATGCCTTTGCCTGCTCACTGGAAGGTTAAATTTGTGATGAAATGAAGCCGGTCTTGAGCATTAATATTATTGCATTTAGTTTTTTGGTGGTGGTGATTCTGTGTATTTTATCTGTCTGATGCATTTAGTACTAAATTGTTTCTAAGCTGCCAAGTAGTTCTTGCTTAGTAAAGTGAATAGTGAATTAAAAACAAGCATGTTCGGCTGGGTGTGGTGGCTCATGCCGGTAATCCTAGCACTTTCGGAGGCTGAGGCAGGTGGATCACCTGAGTTCGGGAGTTCGAGACCAGCCTTCTGACCAACATGGAGAAACCGCATCCTCTACTAAAAAAAATACAAAATTAGCCAGGCGGGGTGGTGCATGCCTGTAATCCCAGCTACTCGGGAGGCTGAGGCAGGAGAATTGCTTGAACCTAGGAGGCAGAGGTTGCAGTGAGCCAGGATCACGCCATTTCACTGCAGCCTGGGTAACAAGAGCGAAACTCCGTCTCAAAAAAAAAAAAAAAACACAAAACACACACACACACACACACACAACAACAAAAAAAAGGCATGTTCTTCTGAAATATATGTATAGATCAATTTTCTTTTGGCATTGTGAAATAAACATACTTGAAAGTACTTATTTTTTTTCTATTACTTTACTTCCTGTTTACTTAGGTATTTTCTCATGTGGTGCATAAAGTTAATTCTACAAGTGACACTCTGCTGCTTTTCAGCCTTTGCCTTGGAGATTTCCCACAAGCATGTTTGGGCTGATTAGCCAGCTGGAAGGGAGGGCCGTTGATTAAAGGTAGAATCTTCCACTGCAGTCAGCGACCTCTTCAGCTTGGTCCACACAGGCAAAGCAGAGTGGAAAATGCTGAGTCAAAGTGGCCCTTGCCTAACAACCAGATGATACTACTTAACTGCAGTGGATAAGATCCATGGACCACAAACATTTCCTTTGTAGTGTATTCTATGGCACTTTGAGACACCTGATACTTTGCTGTGAAAGTGAGGCTCTTGGTAAGTTACAGTTGTGGGAAAGAAGCATTGTTCATCTGTGAGAGGCATTAGAAAAGATTAGTAATGGGGTTGTTGAACTGAAGGACAGAAGGAAATGGGTTCTGCTGTTTCAGATACTTGGAGATTAGAAGAATTATCTATAAACAGTTGTCAAGGAAGTATTTATTTAAAGTTTCTTAGTAAGATGGTATATTCAGAATGAAATTGTGTTACAGGCCAGACATATTACATGTGTCAGAGGCTTAGACTGAATGTTTGGTTTCTCCTGACACACTGCTGGTTTAAATTCTAGAATACTAGTGGAAAGCAGGTATTCAGAACACTTGATGTCAACTCTATGAATTTCCACTATAGGAATATATCTGTAATCGTCGTATTAGCATTATGCAAAAGTAATGGCAAAAACTGCAATTACTTTTGCATCAACCAAATAATATAGAGTGAGATGAATCACAATTGTTTTTTTGGATGCTTTTTGAATAAATTGACAGCTCTATTTCCATTTCCATGACCGTGTTGGAAACCTCCTTGTTCTCAGAGAGAATCAATTTTAAGTCCTCTCTGCACTTTATATGCCTGTTGCTACATAGACCGGCTGACTCTGAAGTATAGATAGAGCTCTATGTCTGAGGATTTTTTTTTTTTTTTGAGACGGAGTCTCACTCTGTCACCCAGGCTGGAGTGCAGTAGCGCAATCTCGGCTCACTGCAACCTCCACCTCCCGGCTTCATGTGATTCTCCTGCTTCAGCCTCCCAAGTAGCTGGGACTACAGGCGCCCGCCACCATGCCTGGCTAATTTTTGTATTTTTCGTAGAGAAAAGATTTCACACTGGCCAGGCTGGTCTCAAGCTCCTGACCTCAAGTGATCCGCCCGCCTCAGCCTCCCAAAGTGCTGGGATTACAGTCGTGAGCCACCGCACCTGGCCTATGTCTGAGTTTCTAATCAAAGATAATACACTGTGGATAAACAAATGTATGTTTATAAACATACATACACACCAGAGCATTGCATATGTTTAGTGATGGAACTTGCGCTAAGGAGGCCAAAGGCTCATCTTCCACATATAGATGTGTATTATACAGAAACAAACTGGGAAGAGACGTGGCCCAGTGAAGATCAGAACTCAGTTCCTCAGACCAGAAGCCTTTCTACTCCCTAGAGCAACTCTGTTGTGAAATACTTCATTTTCTTTACCTTTAACAAATAAATGGTTTAGTGTGAAATATCTTCGTTATCAAAATGTTTCAAATATGCCCAAACTTACCCCTTGAACCAAGCATAGTTAATACGTTTCCCTTATTTTTGAAATACCCCTTGATGTCCAGGGTCCCCAGTACACAGTAGGCACTTAATGGTAACTTGTTTCATTAGAGATAACAGACTTGGGAAATACTGCCCATAAAAGTTAAATTTTTATTTCTATGAGAAATGTTTTGTGAGACATTGGTTTTTATTTTTAATAAGACGTTAATAAAAATCATATGAACATTCTTCTGTGGTATGTATATAGAAATCAACAATATATTGCTAGTCATTTTATAATAGAGCTTGATTTCTTTATATTGTTTTCATGTTGAAGACTGTAATGGAAACTGATAATTCTGGTCCCTTTGTTCTGTCCATAGTAGAGTTTGCTTCTGTCTCTGAACATTCGTTTATTATTTTTAAACATTCCTTATACATGCAGTTAATTAAGCATGTAATATCCAAAAAAATCTATATATAGTTGTCACAATTCCTGTTTCAGTCTTAGATTTCTGTCATGTGAAAAGTGACTGCAGTCTAACTTGTCTCAAAATAAAAATGGCTTAGAGAATTTAAGAAGTATTACAAATGCCTCAGTCAACTTGAGCAAAGCTGCAGGATACAAAATCAATGAAAACAAGCAGCTTTCCAGTATAATACTAATAATAAATTATCCAAAATGAAAATTGAGAAAACAATCCCCTTTATAATAGCAATAATAAAATTAGGAGCAAAGTTAACCAAGGAGGTAAAAGATCTGTATATACGTAGCTTCCTTGGAGATAGATTTTGTAGGTTCAGTTCCAGACCACTGGCCTAAAACAAATATCCCAATGAGTCACACATATTTTTTATTTCTTAGAGCATGTAAAAGTTATATTCATACTATACAGTAGCCTCTTAAGTGTGCAATAATAGTGTTATGTCAACAAATCAATGTACATACCTTATTAAAAATATTTTATTACTAAAATAGGCTAACAATTATCTGAGCCTTTAGTGAGTTGCATTCATTTTTCTGGTGAAGGATCTTGCCTCGATGTTGATAGCAGCTGACTGATAAGGGTGGTGGTTGCTGAAGGCTGGGGTGGCTGTGGCGGTTTCTGAAAAGAAGACTACAGTGAAGTTTGCCTCATAGGTTGACTCTTTCTTTCATGAAAGTATTTTCTGGAGTGTGCGATATTGCTTTTTGATAGCATTTTACCTATAAGAAAACATCTTTTAAAATTGTAGTCAATTCCCTCAAACACTGCTTCTGCCTTATCACGTAAGTATATGGAATATTCCAAATCCTTTGTTGTCATTTCAACAGTATTCACAAGGAATAGATTCTATCTCAAGAAACTAGTTTCTTTGCTCATCCGTAAGAAGCAACTCCTCATCCTTTAAGTTTGACATGAGATTGCAGCAATTCAGTCTTGTCTTCAGGCTCCACTTCTAATTCTAGCTCTCTTCCTGTTTCCACCACATTTGCAGGAAGTTCCTCCACTGACGTCTTCAAACCCCACCAAGTAATCCATAAGGCTTAGAATCAGCTTCTTCCATGAATCATAAACGTTGTCAATGGCTTCTAGAATGTTGAATCCTTTCCAGAAGGTTTTCAATTTACCTTGCCTAGATCTATCAGAGAAATCACTGTCTATGACAATGATAGCCTTATTGTATTAGTCTATTCTCCCACTGCTATGAGTAACTACCTGAGACTGGGTAATTTATGAAGAAAAGAGGTTTAATTGACTCACAGCCATGTACAGGAAACATGGTTGTGGAGGCCTCAGGAAACTTACAATCATGGGGGAAGGGGAAGCTATCACCTTCTTCACATTGCAGAGCAGGAGGAAGAGAGAGAACAAAAGGGGAAGTGCTGCACACTTTCAAACAACCAGATCCCATGAGAGCTCACTCTCATGAGACTAGCAAGGGGGAAATCTGCCCCCATGATCCAGTCACCTTCCAGCAGGCCCCTCCTCCAACAGTGGGAATTACAGTTTGACATGAGATTTGGGTGGGAACACAGAGCCAAACCATATCAGTTATGAAATGCCTTTTTTTAATCATAAGACTTGAAAGTCAAAATTACTTCTTGATCCCTGGGCTGCAGAACAGATTTTATGTTAGCAGGCATGAGAGAACATTAATCTACTTGTACATATCCATCAGGGTGATCAGGTAAATTGGCAATGAGTAGTACTATATTTTAAGGAACCTTTTTTCCTTAGCAAAAGATCTCAAGAGGGCACTTAAAATATTCAGTAAACTACAATGTAAAAAGATGTGCTATCATTCAGGCTTTGTTGTAACCTTTCTAGAGCACAGGCAGAGTAGATTCCACATACATCTTAAGGGGTCTAAGATTTCTGGAATGGTAAATTAGCATTGGCTTCAACTTAAAGTCACCAGCTGCATTAGCCCCTAACAAGAGACTCAACCTGTCCTTTGACGCTTTGAAGCCAAACATTGACTTCTCTTCTCTAGCTATGAAAGTCCTGGATGGCATCTTCTTCTAAGAGAAGGCTGTTTTGTCTACATTGACAATCTGTTGTTTGGTGTAGCCACCTTCATCTATGATTTTAGCTATATCTTCTGGATAACTTGCAGCAGCCTCTACATCAGCATTTGCTGCTTCACCTGAGACGTATATGTTAGGATGTGGCTACTTTTCTTCCCCATGAACCAACCTCTGCTAGCTTCAAACATTTCTTCTGCAATTTCCTTATTTCTCTCAGCCTTCATGGAATTGAAGCGAGTTAGGACCGTGCTCTGGATAAGGCTTTGGCTTAAGGGAATATTGTGGTTGATCTTCTATCTAGACCCCTAAAACTTTCTTCATATTTGCAATAAAGTCTGTTTTGATTTCTTACCATTTGTGTGTTCACTGGAGTAGCACTTTTGATTTCCCTCAAGAACTTTTGTATTCACAGCTTGGTTGACTGGCACAAGAGGATTAGCTCTTAGCCTCTGTCAGCTTTCAACATACCTTCCTCACTAAGCTTAATGATTTCTAGCTTTTGATTTGAAATGGTAGACATATGACTTTTCCTTTCAGTTGAATACTTGGAAGCCATTGTACGGTTACTAATTGGCCTAATTGTGTGTCGGGGAAGAGGGAAGCTGGAAGAGAGAGAGAGAGAAAGACAGAGAATGGCCAGTTAGCAAAGCAGGCAGAACACATGCAGTATTTATCAATTAAATTCACTGTTTTATATAGGTGTGAGACCATGGAGCCCCAGAACAATCACAATAGTGGTGTCAAAGATCACTGATTGCAGATCACCATGACAAATATAATAATAATCAGAAACTTTGAAATATTATGAGAGTTAGAAAGTTGTGACACAGAGACATAAAGTGAGCATTGTTTAAAAAAATGGCACTAATAACCTTTCCAGACACGTGGGTGCCTCAAACCTTCAATTTGTAAAAAAATGCAATATCTAATGTACAGTAAAACAGAGTAATAAATGAGGCATGACTTTACTTGTAGTTCCCTTTGTTATAACTTCTGTTAGTGGCACTGATGTATATAAGGTTGCAGAATTATTCACTTTATTTGATCATCTTTTTTAACAATAATAGTACTTGATCCTTTATTTTAGTTAACCAGATGTTGCCTTAAGCACTTTACTTGTAAACTTACTTAATCCTCACAACCAGCCTATTAAATAACCGTTAAACTCATTTTATAGGTAAAGAAACTGAAGTGCAAAGAAGTTAATCAAATGGACCAAGGTAATCTAACTAGTAAGGAGTAGAGTCAGATTTTAAACAGAAATGAGATAAAACATACAGTTCTTTAATAGCACATTTGGTGCACAGAAGATATTCCTCTTCTTCTTAAAAATGCTTCTTAAGGAATACTGATGAGCTCATTTGGACAGTGAGATAGTGTCTTATAATATTAGCAGCAAGTTCTATATTGTTATCTTAACTTGAAATCAAACCCTGGCACTTACTGCAAGTATAAACTTGGGCATTCTAGTTGCCTTATCTAAGCTTTAATTTCCCCATATGAAAAATGGAGAAAATAATAAAACTACCTTCATAGGATTGAAATAGCTTAGACATTTCACATAATTTGTTTAGCATAGTTTCTTCCACATAGTAAGTACTAAAATGTTAATTGTTTTTATTTTATAATTATTCATAATTATTGCTATTATATACTTTCTGTCAGTGTAACTAAAGTATCATTGTAAAAATGATGAAGTAATCATGCATGTAGATTAGTTTGCCTTATTTTGTTTCATGGTCACACTTTATCAATATTCAAAAATCAGCACGGAGACAACAACAACAAATCTGTGTTGGTTTTTGAATATTGATAAAGTGGGGTTCACAGGGGTACCTAGCAAGAAGGCATCTAGATGAACATTACTTATAACTAATAACACTATACAACTTATGGAACACTATTAGATATAGCACTCTTATAAAGTAGAAGGTATCATCATTTTTCAGACAGAAAGATGAAGGGGCATTGCCAGCCACCAAGAGGTGAATATATACTGTAGGTGAAATTTGAATCCAAGTCTTTTAATACTTAATTCAATAATCTGGGCACTATACTATCCCTGCATCCTTTAAAGGAATGTAAATCTTTCCTCTTTTTTTTTTTTTCTTTGTAGTTCATAGTGTGTTTTCTCTATCTTTACAACGTCCTTGTGAGGTATCAGCCCTGACTCCATTAACACCAATGGAGAAACAAACCAAATGACATTTCCTAGAAACTGTTAGTCAGTAGTTATCTCTGCATTCCATGTTTCCATGCCAGTCAATGCAAATGCTGAGCAGCTACTCAGGAGACTGAGGCAGGAGAATCCCATAGAGTTAGAATTGTAGATAGGAACATAATCAAGAAGCCATTCTATTGGAAAGTTTTTTAATTCAAATCAATACATGTATATCACTATATATTAAATGTATGCATACCTCCATCCATGTATAGATGATCATAGCTTTAAGTGGTTCCTATGTGCTTAGATAGGAAAATAATCTCTTATAATTTGATGGTACTTACATTGTAGATAAGATTTCACTATTTTACCCTCCTAATGATTCCTTATTTTGATGCCTAAAGACCAATACTTAAGAAATGTTTGAAGCTTCCCTCAAAATTGTATTTTTCCAAAAGATCTTCTTACTACATTTTTAGGTCAAGTATGCATTTTTTTTAAGTTAATACTATTTACAAGTGCCATACATAAATAGTTATTGACTGTGCAATACAGTGGAGCCTCATTTATGTCATTCTTGACATCTATGTGAAAGATCTTGAGACTGAAATCTTGCTATACAATAAGATTATTTTCATTTTTCAGTGATCAACCCTCTTGAATGAGAGTCCAGCCTGTTTTCTAGCAATGAAGTCTTCTCTGTAATAGATCCAGTTACTTTTAGTAAATCTGGAGGAGGGAGAAATCTCAATTGACTGAAGAAAGTTTTCTAGGTCTCTTGCTTTCAGTAGGGCCAATAGTGAGGAGTTAAGCTCTGCTTGAAACGTCTCCATAGGACACAATTTCCCTGTGAACTTTGTATCTTCTCTGCATAACAAGGTGGTGTTCTTGGTTTAAGAGTTCGTGCTTTTATCTGTAGATACATTCTTTCCTCTACCGCATTTCCCTGGCTGCCCTGCTGCAGAAGAATTTGCTACAGAGAATTTATTCTAAATGTATTTCATGATACCTAGTTTGGCCCTGACATTGCTATACGCATTACTATTTTTACTTATAGGTTCTTTGTTCAGGGTCATTGGGTTTCCAGTAGTCCTTGAAATGGTTTAGAAGCTATATGTTATTTCTGCTTTTCAAACTTAAATGGTGAGAAATATTCTAAAGTACTTAGGAAACGTGATATTGACTTCCTTGGAAAACACAAACAAGTACTCAATAAAATTGGAAACACTGTATTTCACACTTATGTTTTAGAGTTCAAAGTTACAGATACAAACAGGAGTATGTTTCAAGCATTTGGAATCGGTAGATTTGTAGTGCTCATCATTTGATGTTAACCACAAAACTTTGATAAAATGGCAACTGTCAGTGAGTTAAGCCATTCTATGTTTAATTTTATTCTGTAATTGTTGATTGGTTGTTGAGAAAACACAGATATCAGAGTTTATTATCAGAGTGATCCAAGAAAGAAGGTTTAAAAAAAAAAAAAAAAGGATTTTCCAAAGAATTGTAATAGAATACTTTTGTACACCTTATAATCTATTCTTTGGTACTGTTGTAAATAAATTGTACCAGCATTTGAATTTTAAGTGTTTTATTGGGTTGTTCCTACTGCTGTCACCAACATTCTATATGTATTAAATTAGTATTAAAACTTTATAATATACATGGAAGTAATTGGAAACCCTCTAAAGACTATGAATCAGTGAGGCAAACATTTAGAACTGTCTATAGATTTAAAAATTAAATTATAAACCTCAGCCTGTTTCCAGTATAAAAATTAACTAAAACCAGCCAGGCACAGTGGCTCGTACCTATAATCCTAACCCTTTGGGAGGCACAGGCGGGTGGATCACTTGAGGTCAGGAGTTCGAGACCAGCCTGGCCAACTGGTGAAACCCCCATCTCTACTAAAAATACAAAAATTAGCCAGGCATCGTGGGGCATGCCTATAATCCCAGCTACTCAGGAGACTGAGGTAGGAGAATCTCTTGAACCTAGGAGGTGGAGGTTGCAGTGAGCCGAGATTGCGCCACTGCACTCCAGCCTGGGTGACGGAGGGAGACTGTTTCTTAAAAAAAAAAAAAAAAGAAAAAAGAAAAAAAGCCTGTTTCCAGTATAAAAATTAACTAAAACTTTTTGTTACATCAGAAATACATACAATTTTCATGTTTATTCTATGAACAAAATGTATTGAGCACACGTTTGTCAAAGCTGCCAGGATTAGAATCTACCAGGAAGTGTCAGCATTTGCTGAACATCACTGTTAGGTTCATTTGTTCTTTTTTTTAGATGGAGTTTCACTCTTGTTGCCCAGGCTGGAGTGCAATGGCACGATCTTGGCTCACCGCAACCTCTGCCTACCAGGTTCAAGCAACTCTCCTGCTTCAGCCGCCTGAGTAGCTGGGATTACAGGCATGTGCCATCACACCCAGCTAATTTTGTATTTTTAGTAGAGATGAGGTTTCTCCATGTTGGTCAGGCTGGTCTCGAACTCCTGACCTCGGGTGATCCGCCCACCTCAGCCTCCCCAAGTGCTGGGATAACAGGCGTGAGCCACTGCACCCAGCCTGGTTCATTTATTCTTAATATAACATTGTTCCTATTTACCTAACTCTTGTTCTCTATAGACGGCTCCTATTTTTCAGTGTTCTTGTTGTAATTTAGCAATCAAAATTGAATATGAAGCCCCCAAAGAGTATCTGGATACTATAGCATTTTTAAAAATAGTGTATTTATATTGATCAGTAAAATTATTTATCTTCTTATTGTTCATGTCATATTATTTATTCAGATGAAAATAAAATCTCAGCAGCCCCTTAAGGAACAGCTTTTTGATCCTTTCCTTGCCTAGTAGACTTTTTGGTGAGACTTTTTACTATGTTTTAGTTTTTTTTCTTCCAAATTAATGAGTTTTTGTTGTTGTTGTTGTTGTTTGTTTTGAGATAGAATCTCGCTCTGTCACCTAGGCTGGAGTGCAGTGGTGCTATCTCAGTTCACTGCAACCTCTGCCTCCCAGGTTCAAGCAATCCTCCTGCCTCAGCTTCCCAAGTAGCTGGTATTATAGGTCTGCACCAAGCCTGGCTGGTTTTTGTGTTTTTAGTAGAGACGGGGTTTCACCATGTTGGCCAGGCTGGTCTGGAACTCCTGACGTCAGGTGATTTGTCCGCCTCAGCCTCCCAAAGTGCTGAGATTAATGAGATTTTTTTTAGCATGTAGATTTGATGATTTTAATATATGGACAGGATCTGCCCTTCTACCTCATTCTCCTTTCCCAGTCTTGAGTCAGGAGAAAGTTGATTAGCATGCCATCATCTGTCTCATGTTGTCACTGATACAAAAACATTCGATTCAATGGTGTTGATCTGTTTCGTAACAAGCACATTCCTCAGCATTGGGGGATGCAAAACTAATATATGATGCTTGCCCTCACAGACCACACATTGTAGCAGAAGAAACTCCAGAGAAATAAATAATTATAATTGAAAGGCATCACTGATGTACCTGAAGTATGCCCATCATATTTTTCAAGCACAGTGGGAGGAACAACTCACTCTGGCTAACCAGGGGAGGCTGACAAAGATCCCTGTATAGTTCTACCATCCAGCAGGTGCAATATAAAGACTGGTGGAAATTCTCCAGTCAGCACAGGGGAAAATGGCATCCCTGGCAAAAGAGAAGACAGGGAAAGGAAGTGACATAGTGGTATAAAAATTTGAAATTTGTGATGTGGCTTAGAAGCTTGATATATACGGGTATGATTGCAGCTGCTACATTTAGCCTTTTTTTCTTTCTTTTTGGAGAATGAACCGCATTAAGAAATACATTTTACATCACAATTTAGCAAGTATATGTGCTAACATACTTCTGTTTCTACAAGGGATGTATTGTGGTATTTTCTATTGCATTTTACTCTAATTTAGTTCATTTAAAAAAATGCTGATTCTAACCCATGAAACTCATTGTATAACCTACCAGTGTGTTATATAACCCACGGTATGAGTAAATACCAGGCCAGTGTTTAGCATGTGTATGTAAATGGAGGATGAAGGCAGAATTAGTGAGAAATGAGGCATGAAATAGCCAGCTGGGGTAGAATAATGGAGAGTTTTGTGTCACATCCAGTTTTTTGTTTAATAATAATGAAGATCAGGATATATATAATTGGTATTAATAACATCTGTCAGGCAGTCTTCTAGATGACTCACATATATTTACTTATTTAATCTTTACAACAAATCCATGAGGTAGGGCCTATTATTTTCAGCCTCTTTTTACTAATGAGTAAACTGAGCCACAGAAAGGGCAATGTAATTTGCCTAAGATTAGACAGATAGTAACTACCAGAGCAGGGATTGAACGCAGGCAGTTTAACTCTAAGGCACATGCCCCTCAACCACATACTATATTCATGAGGGCAGTCCAGTCTTGACTCTGCATTTCAAGAAGACAGCTTATGAGCAATGTGAAAGGCTGGTGCTGAGAAACCACCCACCAGCCAATAATTAATAATTATTTACATTAGAATGTTCATAGTTGTCTTTGTCTTGTGTTGCAGAATACCTGAGTTGGAGTAATTTACAAAGAAAAGAGGTTCATGGTCCTGCAGGTTTGGATGTTCAGGTGCATGGCACTGGCTTCTCCCAAGGGCTTTTGTGCTGTGTCATACATACGGATGTTCAGAGCTGGACGTCTGTGCAAAAAAGGGACCAAACAGGAGAAGGAGTCTTACCTTATAACAACCTGCTATTGTGGGAAGTAATCTATTCCCATGACAGTGAGAGCTCACCTAGTCCCAATAGACAGCACTAATCTATTCTTGAGATACCCAAACACCTCCCACTAGGCCCTGATTCCCAGGACTGCTACACTGGTAATTAAACCTCAGCATGAGTTTTGGTGGTAACGAACTACATCCAGACCATAGCAGTGATAAATTTTGTTTACTGTCAATGTCTGTTACCTGCCAGACATTCAAGGCTTGGAAACTACAACACAATACCAGCAGGAGAGCAGGTGTGGACACCTCGGGCCTGTGTCAGATCGCAAAGGTCTTTGACTGTAAGCTCCCACTGAATACCATCAAGTGAAGGGCAGACTTCTGGAGCCCCCGTATTTTCCATGGAGTTCACAGATGAGCCTCTTTGTTGGTCCTCCTGTTTCCTTGGGGCACCACCTTTTGCCTTTTTCATTCTCTGCCTTGATTCTGCAGCTTCTGGAATTGTAATGTGTTTATTTTTGTGCCAGATTAGTTCTCCAGTCTACCGTATCTTTCCTTTTTAAAATGTATTCCTTTCCTTCCCTTTGGGTAGGATAGGCTTATTGCCCCATCTGTGAATTCCACTGTTATTATCCAGTCCCCAAAAGAAGTGTGGCACAGGAGAAAGTGAATCCAGTGTCTTCTGTGCTGTCTTTAACAGTTCTTACTTACCAGCTCAAAGCACGTATCTCAGGACTCAGATGACTCTGTTCTCTTTTACCTCAGGATGAGTTTTCTACCCTGCAGTTAAGGGTGATTTTTGTTTCCATCCTGATTTGCAAATGTTAATTTCTATGTTTTAAGGCAAGGGTTGGCAAACTGCTGACTAAATCTAATCCACTGTCTCTCTCTCTCTCTCTCTCTCTCTCTCTCTCTCTGTGTGTGTGTGTGTGTGTGTGTGTGTGTGTGTGTGTGTGTGTGTGGCTCATGAACTATGAATGGTTGTTACATTTTTATTTTTTATTTTTTGTTACACTTTGATTTTTTATTTATTTTATTTTTTATTTATTTTTTGCTTTTAAAGTTTTCAGACTTTATTTCACAGTGATCAACACAGGAACGTACTGGAGTTAGTAACCCGGTGCCCAGCCTCCCACCATCCGCTTTATCAGGTCCTGTTCCTAGGAGGATTGGGCTAGGGCTGGGGCTAGGGGTGGGGATGGGGAAAGGACGTTGCAATTTAAGGCATTTCTGGCTTCGGAGCCATCCCTGCCACTCCTGCACCTGCCCCTTGACCTTGGTCAGACATTGGCTGGACCCTGGTCATTCTGAGACAAGGATGACCATCACTGACACTGGGGGGAGGGTTTGCAGTGAGGCAGCCCTCAGCCACTCTCGGCCGAGACGGGAAGGATGAGACCCACCATTCCAGGGGTCAAATAAAATCAACACATGAAGAACACGGTTGGTGGCCAGGCCCAGATACCCAGGCAGGCAACAGAGGTCAACCCCATCCCACAGTGGGCTCTTCTCAGTGGCCCGTCACAGGGCCTGGGGTGTGGCAGAGGGACATGGCCACGTCCAGGGTGGCGGGGGGTGACTGGACAGGGCCAGCTGAGGGTAATTAAAGAGTAGCATAAAGAGGGTAAATAAAGAGTAACATTTTTTGACAAGCGGAAACTGTAGAATTCAGATTTCAGTGTCCATAAATAAAGTTTTATTGGAATATAGTGTCTCTTACCTGTTTATGTGTTCTCTGTGGTTGTTATCTTGTTACAAGAGCACAGTTGGGTGGTTGTGTAGGAGAGCATGTGGCCCACAAAATATAAAATGCTTAACTCTTTGATTCCTTATAAAAAAAATTTGCTCACCACTCACTGGACTAAGACCTGAAACAAATTTCAGTCCTTACCTTTGCAAAATACCTTCTCTGGTAGCACAAACTTAATAACATGTGTTTGATAATTTGGCTTCCTATGTTGGAAAACCACAGAATTTACAGCAAGATGAACTTGAATTTGACCTTGAACAAATTTGTGGCTGAAAATAATATTCTTAACACAGACACCACAAATTTTTATTTCAAGTATTTTTATTTTCATGGAAACCTTTTACCTTTGAAGAAAATATATACGTTCTTAGTTTAGGGCTATAGCTTAGCACACAAGCAATATAGAAGAGAAAAATAAAGAATCCTTTTTGCTTCTGTAGTTGGACGTATTTAAATATTTAAGAGAAGGTCAGGTAAAAACACTTTACAATCAGATGCTTTTATTTAGTTTTCAGAACTGCTAAATATGGTGGACAACCATCCTCCCAACAACATTTGTTATTTTAAGTAAGAATGTGGTGAATCTCATCACGGATTTGTCTGTATGCACTGCTTTTACTTTATACAAAATCAGCCAATTAAAAAGAAAAAATTATTTTGTTTCCTTGGGATTGTGCAGATAAGTGAACTCATTTGTTAGCCAACATTATTGAAATCTGTGGGTATGTTTGTGTAGACTCAGCCCTAGAGCAAGCAATATATTTGCAACTGAACACATATATTGAGAGAAATCTGGTAAGCTCTACCATTTATATTCATCATAGTAAACAGCTCACTGACTTTATTAATAGGTTTCACTTAATACAGCTTCTTACTGTTCTGTATTTAGAGTTGATTTTACGTCTTTCTCTTCTATATACAGCCAGTAATAATCTGAAGCCAAATTTAATGCTCTCCAGAGACCATGCAACCCACGTTTGCATCAAGAGCCTGGTGATTTACAGACTCTGAGTTGGAGAGATGACCTCTACAATTACTGTAGAAACCCAGTGAGAAGTGAAGTGAGCTCACTGTAGAAAGATTTCAGGCATTGAAAAAACTTGCCTTATTTGGTAAATGTGGTTAACTGGTCCCAGCTGGTAATACTGGTGAGCTCATTGTGAGATGTATTGTCTCTTAAAGCCAAATTCTTGTATTTTTAAAAATCTGTTAGAATTGGAGTATTAAATAGTATTTGTTCAGTTTTTCTTGATGTTCTAGGAAGTAAATCAAATCAGAAACAATAGAGTTCCATTTTGAAAACTAAAGCTCAGATGCAGTGACACTTAAAATATTCCCAGTATATCTTTTCTTGTCTCTTATGTTGCTTACCTTACTTAGCCTCTGGGGAATTTGGAGTTTAATTTATGCCTTGAAATACAAGACTCCTACGGGAAGCAAATTTATGTGGCCATGTGTGCTTTACTATACTTCTTTGCTCATGTAAGTTTACTCTGTATATTACACTTTCAGGATAGATTCTGTTAATTGCATTTTCTTTAATGACCAGTAGCATTTCATGCTTGTAAATGAAAGACTATGGTTTCTCATGTCTTCTGTAAAATTCCTACCTCAGATTTGTCTGTATCTTGAGTCTGGCTTTCCAGAGATTCAGTTGTTTCAGAGGAAAAAACACAGGGTTTAAGTCAAGGAGAACTTGGTTTGAATCCTGGCTCTGCTGTGTGTGAACTTGATGACTTCAGGACAGCTCCTTAACTGTTGTGACAGTTAAGAGGTGTTACCAGGGTGGGCGCGGTGGCTCACGCCTGTAATCCCAGCACTTTGGGAGGCTGAGGCAGGCAGATCACGAGGTCAGGAGTTCGAGACCAATCTGGCCAATGCAGTGAAACCCCGTCTCCAGTAAAAATACAAAAATTAGCCAGACGTGGTGGCACATGCCTGTAATCCCAGCTACTCGAGAGGCTGAAGCAGGAGAATCACTTGAACTCGGGAGGCGGAGATTGCAGTGAGCCGAGATCATACCACTGCACTCCAGCCTGGGTGACGCAGCGAGACTCTGTCCCAGAAAAAAAAAAAAAAAAAAAAAGAGGTGTTACCTATCCTCAAGTGTTGTGAGATTTAACATATGAATATGGGAATGCCTGGCACAAAAATGGTAATAAATGCCAATTTCCTATTCCTTCTATTTCTTTTTTTCTTTTTTTGAGATGGAGTTTCACTTTTGTTGCCCAGGCTGGAGTGCAATGGCACAATCTCAGCTCACCGCAACCTCCGCCTCCCTGTTTCAAGTGATTCTCCTGCCTCAGCCTCCCGAGTAGCTGGGATTACAGGTGTGAGCCACCATGCCCGGCCTATTCCTTCTATTTCTATTTCCAGCTTTTCCTAGGCCTCACTTTCAACTGTTTCCTTTTGGGTTATATTGATACGATTTGGCTGGTCCTCTCTGCCGAGTCACCCATTCTCCATGCGGTAGTAGGAGGGAATAGGTCCTCTGTACCCTTACCAATCAAACTGTGGTCCAATTACTAATGCTTAGAAAGATTCCTCAGCAATTGTTTTCTCCCAGGGACCTGCTTTAAAAATCTAATTTCATTTGTTTGTGGGTGAGGGAAAGGAAAGTGGTTTCCTAAAGTAAGTGCTTTCTTTCTAACTTAAACTAAAATACCACATTCTCTCATTTGAGGTCATAAAAGTAGCTCTCATCCCAGGGGACATGCGGAGATTAGAAAATGAGCAAAGGGAAGAGGAGGAGAAATGAGTAAGTCAGTGGCAAGAGCATCCTCTCCCCGCCAAATTATATTATGTTTTCATTTTATCTTGCACATGTTCTGCTTGAAATCCTATCTGCACCCATTACAACACTGCTTCCTGGCATCTAATGAAAGATGCCTCCATGGACTTGCTTAAAACACAAGGAAACAAGCTTATTCTTTGGGGAGTTACATATATATATATGTATATAGTATATAAAAATTCTAGAAGATAACATCAGAAAAACTCTTCTAGAGATTAGCTTAGGCAAGGAAAGGAGACATGAACAATTTTTTTTTTTTCAAGGAAAGAAGACATGAACAAATATTTAGTGTGGTTTAGTTTGAGGTAGATAATATTTTAATAAAAAAATTAATAATGCCTCAAAAAAATATGGTCTGGGGCCAGCAGCATCAACTAGGATCTTATTAGAAATGCAGAATCTTTGGTCCCACTTCAAGCTTGTCAAATCAGTATCTGCATTTTAACAAGACTCCTAGTTGATTCAAATGCATAATACAAGTTTTAGAAGCACTGCTCTGTATCACTTTTTTGGTATCCACATCTCTGATGAGAGTAATGTGGTCCTCTCTATTTGGGGGGTTATCCTTGGTTTTTGAAGTACTGAGTGACTAGAAAGATAACAGAATGGTTAAATAATCTGTCACCCCGTCTGTGCTTAACTGTCAATCAGTTCCTTGCACATATGAACTTCTCCACCTGTACCACCCATCTTCTCTAGCTAGATTCTAACTGTAAAACCCTTCAGGGAAGGACATTCATTCTTTATTTGGTGGGTTTTGTTTGTTTGTTGTCTGTTGGCTAAAGATAGTACTCATCAGTGTCACTGTGGGTTTCTCTTGGGACAGAAGGTGGCAAAATTGGATGTTGTCATTTCTTTTTTTCTGGTTCCTCTTCCGACACCCACATCCATTATTTACAACATAGACTTTGCCTGCCATGCCTATACCCTGTGAGCTGCGACCTCCCTGCCTCATCTACCCTGTTCTTACCTTTCTTCACTGTCCCTAATCACCACTGCCTCCTCTCTTCAGCTTCTCCGCTGTATATTTCCCTTGGGTCTCTTGTAGTTTTCCTCTTTGATCATTTCTTCTCTGTCTTCATTATGGTTTTCAGGTGAGAGGGTCGTTTGGCAAAAGGAGTAAAGTTAAAAATGAAAATCTTTTGGGTTCAGATCACCAGACTGCTGCTTATCCTGGATTCTTTGTGGGTTTTTAAAGTCATTGAACCCTCATCCCTTTCAACACACAGCCTCAAGCTGGTTTATAATTTTGCTATTCATATGCCAATGTTCATCTTGCAACTGAGCTACTGAAGGACAGATTATTTATTCATTTTTGATATCCCTAGTGCCTGGCACAGAGCAACACAGTATAAATGTTTTTCTTTTAATTTTTTTATTTCCATAGGTTATTAGTGAACAGGTGGTGTTTGGTTACATGAGTAAGTTCTTTAGTGGTGATTGGTGAGATTTTGGTGCATCCATCACCCAAGCAGTATACACTGTATCCAATTTGTAGTCTTTTATCCCTCACCCCATTCCCACCCTTTCCCCCTAAGTCCCCAAAGTCCACTGTGTCATTCTTACGCCTTTGCATCCTCATAGCTTAGCTCCCAATTATAAGTGAGAATATACAGTGTTTGATTTTCCATTCCTGAGTTACTTCACTTAGAATAATAGTCTCCAGTCTCATTCAGGTTGCTGCGAATGCTATTCATTCCTTTTTATGGCTGAGTAGTATTCCATTGTATATATATACCACCGTTTCTTTATCTACTCACTGATTGATGGGCATTTGGGTTGGTTCCGCCTTTTTGCAATTGCAATTTGTGCTACTACAAACGTGTGTGTAAGTATCTTTTTCATATAGTGACTTATTTTCCTCTGGCTAGATACCCAGTAGTGGGATTGCTGGATCAAATGGTAGTTCTTCTTTTAGTTGTTTAAGGAATCTCCATACTGTTTTCCATAGTGGTTGCACTAGTTTACATCCCACCAGCAGTGTAGAAGTGATCCCTTTTCACTGCATCCATGCCAACATCTATTATTTTTTGATTTTTTGATTGTGTCCATTCTTGCAGGAGCAAAGTGATATCACACTGTGGTTTTGATTTGCATTTCCTGGATCATTAGTGATGTAGAGCATTTTTTCATATGTTTGTTGGCCATTTGTATACCTTCTTTTGAGAATTTTTTATTCATGTCCTTAGCCCACTTTTTGATAGGATTTTTTTTTTCTTGCTAATTTGTTTGACTTCATTGTAGATTCTGGGCATTAGTCCTTTGTATAGATTGTGAAGATTTTCTGCCACCCTGTGGGTTGTCTGTTTACTGTGCTAACTGTTCCTTTTGCCATGGAAAAGCTCTTTAGTTTAATTAAGTCCCAGCTATTTATCTTTGTTTCTTTGTATTTGCTTTTGGGTTCTTGGTCATGAAATCCTTGCCTAAGCCAATCTCTAGAAGAGTTTTTCTGATGTTATCTTCTAGAATTTTTATAGATTCAGGTCCTAGATTTAAGTCCTTCTTCCATCTTGAGTTGATCTTTACATAAGGTGAGATCCAGTTTCATTCTCTTACATGTGGCTTGCTAATTACCCCAGCATCATTTCTTGAATAGGACATCCTTTCCCTGCTTTATGTTTTTGTTTACTTTATCAAAGATGAGTTGGCTGCAAGTATTTGGGTTTATTTCTGGGTTCCCTATTCTTTTCCATTGGTCTATGTGCCTATTTTTATACCAGTACCGTGCTGTTTTGGTGACTATGGCCTTACAGTATAGTTTGAAATCAGTTAATTGATGCCTCCAGATTTGTTCTTTTTGCTTAGTCTTGGTTTGGCTATGTGGGCTCTTTTTTGGTTCCATATGAATTTTTGGATTGTTTTTTCTAGTTATGTGAAGAATGATGGTGTCATTTTGATGGGAATTGCATTGAATTTGTGGATTGCTTTTGGCACTATGGTCACTTTCACAATATTGATTCTACCCATCCGTGAGCATGGAATGTGTTTCTATTTGTTTGTGTTGTCTATGATTTCTTTCAGCAGTGTTGTAGTTTTCCTTGTAAAGGTGTTTTACCATCTTGGTTAGGTGTATTCCTAAGTTGTTTTGTTAGTTTTTGTTTGTTTGTTTGTTTGTTTGTTTGTTTTTCCTTCCAGCTATTGTAAAAGGAGTTGAGTTCTTGATTTGATTTTCAGCTTGGTCGCTGTTGGTATGTAGGAGAGCTACTGATTTGTGTACATTAATTTGCTGAATTCTTTTATCAGCTCCAGGAGCTTTTTGGAGGAGTCTGATTTTCTAGGTATACAGTCATATCATCAGCAAGCAGTGACTGTTTGACCTCCTCTTTACTAATTTGGATGCCCTTTACTTCTTTCTCTTGTCTGATTGCTCTGGCTAGGACTTCCGGCACTATGTTGAAGAGGAGTGGTGACAGTGGGCATCCTTGTCTTGCTCCAGTTCTCAGAAGGAATGCTTTCAACTTTTCTCCTGTTCAGTATTATGGTGGCTGTGGGTTTGTCATAGATGGCTTTTATTACGTTGAGCTATGTCCCTTGTATGCCAATTTTGCTGAGAGTTTTAATCATAAAGGGGTGCTGGATTTTGTTGAATGGTTTTTCTGTGTCTATTTAGATAATCATGTAATTTTTGTTTTTAATTCTTTTTATGTGGTGTATCACATTTATTGACTTGTGAATGTTAAACCATCCCTGTATCACTGGTATGAAACCCACATCATCATGGTGGGTTAGCTTTTTGATATGTTGTTGGATTCGGTTAGCCAGTATTTTTTTTTTTTTTAACAATTTTCGTATCTATATTCTTCAGGGATATTGGTCTGTAGTTTTCTCTTTTGGTTTTTTCCTTTCCTGGTTTTGGTATTAGGGTGGTACTGGCCTCATAGAATGATTTAAGGATTCCCTCTTTCTCTCTCTTGTGGAATAGTGTCAATAGGATTGGTACCAATCCTTCTTTGAATGCCTGATCGAATTCAACTGTGAATCTGTCTGGTCCTGGACTTTTTTTTGTTGGTAATAATTACCATTTCAATCTTGCTGCTTGTTCTCTTCAGGGTATCTGTCTGTTTAGGGTATCTAGTTCTTCCTGATTTAAGCTAGGAGAGTTGTATCTTTCCAGGAATTTATCCATCTCCTCTAGGTTTTCTAGTTTATACATGTGAAGGTGTTCATAGTAGCCTTGAATGATCTTTTGTATTTCTGTCATGTCTGTCAAAATAGCTCCCATTTCATTTCTAATTGACCTTATTTGGATTTTCTCTCGTCTTAATCTTGCTAATGTTCTATCAATTTTATTTATCTTTTCAAAGAATCAGCTTTTGGTTTCATTTATCTTTTGTATTGTTTTTTGTTTCAATTTCAAAATGATCTTTTGGATTGGAATCACCAGACTGCTGCTTATCCTGGATTCTTTCTCTGTGGACTTTTACAGTCATTGAACCCTCATCTCTTTCAACACACAGCCTCAAGCTGGGTTGTAATTTATCTTTGTACATGCCAGTGTTCATCTTTCAACTGAGCTATTGAAGGACAGATTATTTATTCATTTTTGATATCCCTAGTGCCTGGCACACAGCAACACAGTATAAATGTGGTTTTGTTTCTGTTTGTTTTGTTTTTTATTTTTTGAGACAGAGTCTTGCTCTTGTTGCCCAGGCTGGAGTGCAGTGGTGTGTGATCTTGGCTCACTGCATTCTCTGCCTCCTGAGTTCAAGCAATTCTCCTGCCTCAGCCTCCCAAGTAGCTGGGATTACAGGTGCCCGCCACCATGCCCGGCTAATTTTTGTATTTTTAGTAGAGATGGGGCTTCACCATTTTGGCCAGGCTGATCGTGATCTCTTGACCTCCAGTGATCCACCTGCCTTGGCCTCCCAAATTGCTGGGATTACAGGTGTGAGCCACCATCCCTGACCTTAACACAGTAAAAATGTTGATATTGTTATATAAAATATCTGTTGTCTTATTAATTGTAAAATTCTGAAAACTAAAGGGTTTAGAAGCCTTTTTTGGAGAACTTTATAGAGAAGACTGCAAATGAAATATACCAGAAATAGGGACAGATTTAGTGCTTTGGGTCCACAAGAAGGAAAGTAGAGGGGTTCCCTGGTTCTTTGTTGGATGCTAGAATAGCTCCAGAGGTGAATGTGGTTCTCAGACTGTAGTGTATTTTTAGAAGTTGGTATCCAGGACAGTTTATCATGTCTGGACAATGCTGAGCAATTCAATGCTAGAATTTAATAATTAGGACAACAGTCTGTGCATGGTGTTCATCCTTAAAATTCATTTTATGAGTCATGCTACCTTAGGCATAATTAGAATAAGACCGCACACAGTGGATTTTCCCCCACTCATTCTTTTCATTTGTACTATGTGATTATGGCAATGTATGTGGTCTTCCCATTGGATCCTCATTATTTCTCTGTGTAGTTTCATAACAAAAAAACTATCAGTCTGGGATTGCTGTCAGCTGATTTTTTTCTAGTCACTGAGTTGCTCAAGTTACTGTTTCAGCAAAATGGGTAGCAACCACAGCAATTTAAAAATAAAACTATTTTAAAAGCAATAAAGTATTTTTGTTGTTGTTGTTGTTCTTGCTGTTGGTTTAGAATAAGCCACGTCAGTCTTTCAATTCTTAACTGTTCCAAAATTCAATCTGAGGTCTTGGTGTAGCATTCTTTCTTTTACTCTGTTGTATTTATTAACTGGGGGCGAACACTTAGTAACTAGGAATTTATTTTAATAAACAATACTGTAAATCTAGTAAACTCAAAAGACATCAAAAGGACTCATTCACTAGCTAGCAAATTGGTACAAAATGATAAATAAGAGTCAAAATCAAATCATGTAATGATGAAGTCACCAACATGAAAATATCATTGTTGACGCAAAGCAGAGCTTCGTGGCACATTTCCTGATATTTAGTTCAGCTGCTGTCTCCTGCCTCCGTGTCCCCCCAACCCCGTCCCACTACCCTGCTGTCTACTCCCTTGTCAATTCTTTTATTTCTTTATGATTTTACCGTAATGAAATTTATCATTCGTATTTCAGAATATTTTCACATTCTTCTTAGGTATTCTCCTCCAGGGTATCTGCAGAAGTAGATAGAGAGCCTGGGTGGTCAATGGCAGTGAAAATAGGAAACATTTGAATTGAGAATCATTTGGGTGAGGGTCCTTGCAGATTTAAATCCAGCCCATTCTCCCTGCCTGCTCCCTCCTGACCGTATGCCTGAGATGTGGCTGCAGGGGGAGACTAACCTCAGAACACCTTTTCTTCCCCAGTGAGCATGTGGCATATACCCAGTTGCCAGATTAGAACTGGCAACATCCAAAAATGGCCTAATTTGGTCACAGATTGGGGAGATAGTATTTAGCGGAGTTGGCATGTATATTCCGATCTGACCCCAAAGCCCTTACTCCTCTGCTGTTCCCTGTGGCACTAGTTTGAGGAAAGTAAACAGTTTAGCAGCCACTTTCCCTTTATGCCTGACAGGGTGTGGGACAAATTGAGTTAAACAGTTAAAATATTGGGCCGCTTCGATTGGGTATCTCAATTAGAGCCAGAAAGTTTAGGGAACTAAGTGTATTGGTTAGGTTATACTGAGTTGATTTTCTTCTGTTGAATCTTAAAGAATCTTCCCTGTCAACAATTTCTTTAGGTTATTTATATAGCACTTCCCTTACTGCCTTAAAAATTGTGCAAAGCAAAGAGTCAAATTCCATTTATCATGGAATCAGTTTAAATCCCATTTTTTTCCACTGGGGTATCGGATGCCTTTTATAATTTCTTTCACTTTAAAAACCAATTATTTGCTTTTGACTATGTGTCTGTATAAATTTGAAATGGATTCTAAAGTCTAATTCATAAAGAGATTTTGCAAAATTATATTTTTGAAAATTTATTTATCATGTTTGTCATTGATTTATCAAATACTATACATATGTTGGCTAATTGTAAGAAACAAAAGAAATGGATCATTGTCTGGAAGCTATAACTCCCAAGTTAACTTCAGACCAAATTTTTATAATTTTATTGCATATATATGAATGCAACTGCAAGAATTAATAATAAAATATTTCAAAATAAGATGACCAAAATGAAATTATAAGTTAAGGTAGACAGAGGTTGAATTACATAATGTAAATCCTCTTCAGATTTTCACAAAAAGAACTAAGTGCTGTGGGAAAAGAGGTGTACTGTTTCCCCGTAATTGCATTGTGTCCTAAGCAATTCTTGATGAGGTAGGTTTGCAGCCAAGAAGGCAAGTTGAGCTTTATTTACCTCTTTTCAATGGGTGCTATCTCTTGGATGTGCTCAGACCCTGAGAAGCCTATGGTCTACATTTTTTATTTTAAGTCTTTAGGACTTTATGATTGGATAACCTTGGGCAAGTCAACATCAGAGGATGCAGTTCATAGCTATCTCTTTAGATTTCAAAGGATTCAAATGAAATTTCTACTGTAAAATGTTTTGTGAAATCTGAAGTATTATCTAATTGTTAGTTATTATCTCACAGCTTGCATTTTTAAAAACAAGCATTTCATCGATTTGTTTGAATCTAAACGTGTAGCTGTCATACAGGGAACAGACTTCCTTGAATAAGTGTATGAAAAAAAATTCCTGAAGGGGCTAATTAACCATCTGTGGGAAACAATACATTTCTTTATAGAGTTGGACTAAATGACCTCCTCTTAGTTTTCTTCAAACTGTAGGGTTCTCTGATTGCTTAATTTTGTAAATTATTAGTTATTTAGAAAGATCTTCCCTTTTGCTATCTCTTTGTTTGAAATTATCACAAGATTTAGAAATAGCTCTTTATTACTTCTAATTTGTATAATCATCACAAAGAATTAGCTTTTGTATCTGGACTAATTTTACTTAGCACAGCGATGCCCCATTCCTGTTTGGAGGTTACATATTATTGCAATAATTGATGTATTGCATGTGCAAGTTAATCTTAAGAAATGACTGTTCATCAGTGCATCTCTCTACTAGCTGACCCAATTAAGGCCAAATTAACAATAAGACTGTAAATGTTTGCAAGATTCCAATAGCCATTTAACTTCTTTGAGAAGAAATCAAATATAGTGGGAAGAACACTGAATTAGGTTTAGACTTTATGTTGACCCTCCTTGATTTAAAATGAAGGAGGTCTCTTTCTGTGCTTCACTAAATTGGATAGTTTAAAAGAAAAACACTAGAAATTATGAAGAACTAATACAAAGCTGTGTTTGTAAGCATTTTGTCATCCCTACCATGGACATGATACTGTGCTGAGTACTGACATGCAATAATCTCACTTATCAATGCATGTCAGTACTCAGGATGGTACAGTAAATATTGGTAAGATTCCAATAGTCCTTTAACTTCTTTGAGAAGAAATAAAATATAATAGGAGGAACATTAAATTAGGTTTGGACTTTATGTTCAATGCATTTCCAGTACTCAGAAAATACTAAGCATTAAGTTCTTTACTGAGCATTCTGTCATCTCTACTATGGACCCAGTACCGTGCTGAGTACTGGAGATGGCATTGATGAGTGAGATCATCCTTGCTCTTGAACTGTTCAGTCCGGGGTCAGTGGAAATTGAGCCCTGGTTCTCTATAGCTTCCCCTCCTGTGGCTGGTTCATGTACAACTAACCAATGAGGTCTAATGCCATTCTCCATGATCTCTCCTCTGAGATTTGCAGATCCCTCTCATAACCCTTATCTAAACTACTTGAATCAAATACTTTCATCTTTATTTCTACTTTTTGAAGTGAAGTTAAGTAATTTCTCTGAGTCTTTCTAGGTTAAAAATCCTTGAAGTACTTACATGGTAATCGTAACTATTTCATTTGAAGCATTCATCTGACCAAGATGTGAGCTATCATGCAGTGTAACTGTGTGACGTTAAATGATGGACACAGAGATGTCTGACCCAAGTTTCCCTTCAGGATGACCTTTTAACTCCTGCCACTCACAAGGATGGATACAGACAGTCTGCAGCTGTCAGCTCCTCCTGGGCTCCTCAGTTGCAGAAAGCTGCCTTCCCAAGGGCACATCCCTCCTGAGGCAGGCCATAATTCAGGCAGCCCAAATCTAGTGGTTGATAGGGGCAGGAGCAGAAAGGCCCAGCCATTTAAGCTCACTAGGAGGCAATTCTCACAGGCAGTGCTAGCTCCAGAGATCCCCACTGAGTGAGCCTGGGCTTTTCCTCCCTGCATCACAGTCCCATCTCTACCTCTATCCAATCCCGCTTCTGGAGAACCCATCTGGCAGCAAGGAGGTTTCTAAGAATGCTCTTTGTTACCTGCTCAAGCCCTGTACTTTATTTAAAAATTGTTTCATTATTTAAAAGGCTGTTTTCAGAGTAGCAGAAACTTCTTCATGGTGGAAGGCTACATACAGGCAGATATGTAAGTATTTCACATAAGAAGGTACAGTTGATTGTGGAGCAGAACGCCCCAAACATCAATGACAGCTTAATGTCTTTGACTATTATGAAAAACAGCCTTTCCTTTTAAAAAAAAAAAGCTTTTCCATAATTTAGCTTGACGTGTATCCCCAGGCCCTGTAAAAACTTCCACTACTTGTCAATGAGTGATAGTTTCATTTCTTGTAAAGTGCCAAAATGAGAATTCAGAGTTTCATTTTGGAGAAAAATGGGATTTGTAAAGTGTTGCATGGGGAAGAATGGATTAGTTGACCTAAAACAAAGTGGGGGATATGGGGATGTGTATGTGGGCTGGGGGTTATATATGTTTATGTGTATATTCCTAATATTCTTTGGCCAGTTAACTAAAATTTTCTAAGTACATATGGAAAAAAGTAAATTGCCATTCATTTTATGACGTGTCAAACGATGTTGTTATTCAAAGGAAACCAATTTCCCATTTTTATTATTAAAAAAGGCTTAAAATAATAACTTGTTCCAGATAATTTACCTTTTAAGATAATAAAATAATTGATTCTAATACTCTTTTTAGAGGAAGAGGGATTTAATATGGTTCTTGAAGAACATGTAATGCTGTAGAAGGAACAAGAGCAACTTCTCCAGGACAGGTGGAAGGGCCCTGGTAAAGTAATGGTGGTGATGGGCACAGTGGCACTGATGTGGTTCCATTGTCACCTTGTCATATTGTGTTAGAATCTGTTGGGTGTAATGCTTCTTTGTGTATTTTCTCATTTGTTTCCTAGTGCAGTTTCAATATCACTACAGTAGAAGCTTTTCTCTCCTCGGAGTTCCAAAGCATCTTGTTGAAATTCTTGTGGCATTAACTATTGTACTCTGTACTTCACATTGTAGATATTTATGTGTTATATCCTCTCCTCTACTTAAACTTAACATCCTTGGAACATAAGTCATGTTTTAAGTAGCACACTCAGCGTGTCGACAAAATAAGTGTTCAGTAAATATTTAGTGAATCACTAAAGTGATTGTGCTGGACAAGATGATTATAATCTTGCTCTTACAACAGAAATAAATGAAGATTAAAGAGTGCTATGGTCTGAATGTGTCTCCCCAAATTCTCAATCTCCAATGCAGTAATGTTGACAGGTGGGGCCTTTTGAGAGGCATCTGGGTTATGAGGGCACCATCCTCATGAATGGATTAATGCCATAATGAAAGGGCTTAATTGAGAGAGTCCTTTCTTTTTGCCCTTTTATACCTTCCGTCATATGAGGACACAGAGGAGGAGTGAGGAGGCAGCATCAAGGTGCCACCTTGAAGCAGTCCTCCCAGGATACCAAACCTCCTACTGCCTTCATCTTGGACTTCTCACTTCCCAGAACTGTAATAAATAAACTTCTGTTCTTTATAAATTACCTAATCTGTGGTACTCTGTTATAGCCACACAAACAGACTAAGACAACGAGGTTAAATGAGTTTTCCCATCTTAGCACATTTAATAAGTGATCTGTTGGACACCCTGGTTTTCTGATTTAACCTAGTCCTTTGTTTCTATTAACCTATAGGTATTTAAAGACAGGAAACTCTTTTTCTCTGGAAGATGAGAGGCAGACTAATAACTGACAGAGTTTCTGTGTTATCTTCAGTCTCTTTCTACTTTTGGCAGTGCTCCTTGTTCACTCATGGGCTCGTGCTGGTTTTCTTATATCCTTAACTTAACTCTTGACCCACCTTGTTCACCTTCCCAAGGTGGGTCCCAAGCTGGACCATTCTTTAGAGTTCAGCTTCTTGGATCTGGGTCATGTTATCAGGTAACCAAGGCCAGTCTTTTGGACTTTGCCACAGTAGGCAATAGGCAGGGTTGGTGTTCTCTGTCGGAAGTGAAGTCAGGAAAGGAATGGAATATTAAAGAACAAATACACAAAAATAAGGCACAAAATCTAAGGGAAGATCACTAGCTGAGGCTTAGAGGAACTAAGGAACAGAGCAGGCATCCAGATGACAGCCATTTTGAGGAATCTGTGGGCAGGTTTTCCTTAGGCAGCCACATCTTTTGAAGGTCCACGTTTCTGCCTCTCGAGATGTCCCTCCATGGTCTAAAACGTATTCAGCTCTCTCAGCCAGCTCCTGATGGTTGAAGTTTGACTCCCTCAAACTGTTCCAGGCTGCAGTGATCTTTCAAAAGTTCTGTTGCATTTGTTTCCTTTCATGGTTTCATTGTTTTTTTGATGGCTTTCTGTATTATCCTACAAGTTCCATGAGGATTGAGTATTTATGTTTTAAGAAATGTACTAAGTAATTTACAAGAAGTTACCTCATTCCATCCTGTTAAGCGCTTCATTAAGTACCATTCATATTCGTATTGTACATATGAGGAAATCTGAGAAATAACCTCTTAAGGACCCCAAAGATAGTAAGTGGTGAAATCAGGATTTGGAATCAGACTGCTTGACTGTCATTAAAGGCTGTACTCATAATCTGTCACATTATATCGAATAGATATAACTTACTATTTCCAACAGTATTTATTTTCTTAAATTATAAGGCAGATTAATGTTTTCAAAATAAAAGATTGGTTAAAATGCTGCTTGAAGTAACCTGTAGTCTGTGCCTGTGGCAGGGACTAATAGTTAATTAATTTTAGGTAGGTTTTATTCTCACATAGTCCTTATGGCTGAAGAATGGGCTATTCTGTTATTATCAAGGATACTAGCTAAAATAGTATCGTGTTTAGAGTGCCATGGGGGAGGGTTCTGTGTGTTTTGAGAGAACTCCAAGTCTTGGGAAGCTGCCCCTGTTTCACAGGCATTTCACGCCTGTGAGGTTCTCTCCAAGGGGGCTGTTGGTTTTCATAATGAGTTGCACTCAGCATCTTGAGGCAGATGAGTCAGAGATGCCTTTCCTTATCCACATGTAATTCCTGGCTTTTTGTTTATTTTCTGGACCAACTGAGTAGATGGTTTTTCTGAGGCATGTGAGACAGACGCAACCTTGAAAAAGGGAAGCATTGCCAAAAACATGGCTTTGTCTGGGTTTCAAACATATGTTTCATAGGGTTTTTATTCACAGAAGAGTCAGAAGACTCTTGTTTTGTTCACAGGAACAAAAGTTTGTGTGGCCCGTAGCAAGCTCCTAATGTCTTTCTGTCCTTGTCCCTCCTCCCTCTTCGGTTGCTCCTGTTTTCATATAGTCTTCAAAGTGTTCAGTCTAAAAACATTTATTACCCGTCTGCATGCCAGGTAGACATTTTTTTTTAATATCCTTATAGGTTCAGAGATGAGTAAGTCATAGGAAATAACTTAAAAGCATCGACTTTTTTTTTTTTTTTTTTTTGAGATGGAGTCTTGCTTTTGCCACCCAGGCTGGAGTGCAATGGTGCAATCTTGGCTTGCTGCAACCTCTGCCTCCTGGGTTCAAGCAATTCTCCTGCCTCAGCCTCCTGAGTAGCTGGGATTACAGGTGCACACCACCACACCCAGCTAATTTTTGTATTTTTAGTAGAGATAGGGTTTCACCATGTTAGCCAAACTGGCCTCAAACTCCTGACCTCAGGTGATCCACCCACCTTGGCCTCCCTAAGTGCTGGGATTACAGGTGTGAGCCACCACGCCCAGCCAAAAGCATCAACTATTGAAGGGTGCAATAGAGACAGATAGTTTATGTCTGTGCCATAGTAAATGCCGAGTTAGAGGTACACGTAGGTATGAAGTGCCTTGTGGACATAAAGGGCACTTGATCTAATGTGGAAGTCCAGTCTCTGGAAAGATGATACTTGAGGCAGGTATTGCTAGATGAGTGAGAGCTAGCAGGGGAAAGGAGGGCTGTCTAAGCAAAGAGCATAGGCATAGTAGGCAAAAGATTGTAATGGTATGTGAGAAGAACTTCAAGCACATTGGTATTAGTAGAGCATAAAATATGAAGTTCCAAGTGTTGGAGATGAGACGAAAAAGACATGGAACTGCTACATTTACGGAAAGCCTTGCTTGCCTTGCCAAGAGGTTTGAATTTCATTCTGTGGCTTTGGAAACTGTTTATACTAAGAAATGTAATAGTAAAAACTGTATTTTAAATTAATTATTCTAACTAAAATATGGATAATGAATAGGGAGAAGGAACAAGACCTTGAGGAAGATCAGGTGGGTGTTAATTAAAATAGTTTAGCTATTTTAAAGCCCTAAATTATTGCAGTCATTTTGAAATATAGAGAAGTCTGTTGTTCTGAAGTCCAGATGCTTTGGTAGCTCTTGATGGGATCAAATTATAATCAATAGCAGTCTTCTTCTTGAATATTGTATTTACTAAAAAATCCATTGTGTTAGACTAAGTCAGTTTCTAAAAAGTGACACTCTGGTCTTATCTTTAATTCATGCTGTAAAATCTGGTGGGTTAGGTCTGTGTTTAGAGAGTTTGGTATAAAGAAACCATTCTTATAAATACAAATGGAACTGATTACATATGATATCTGTCTAGAGCCAAATGAAGATAGTGGCATTCGTGAAGATGACATTATAGATGCTTCTAGAAAACTCTTAAAGAAAATATCAGGTTTCTAGTCAGTAACCATAATTTCCAAATACATTAGCTATTGAGTGCTGCCTGCCCTTAAAATAAAAGCACATTTTCTTTCTGGTTTTCCATGTACAGCATGACTGAGCTCTCAGGAAGAAGACCCTTGGCTCACTTGGTCACATTCATTAATTGTTATTACCTCATGACTACAAGTATAACCCGATATACTAAAGAGTTGAAAAATTCTTCTCTCTGATTAACCTAAATATCTCAGCTTCAGTCCATTTTCTTCTGTTGTATCCTCACTGGAGATGGAGAACAGGTGGTCACCATGTGACACACTTCGATTTTATAACAACTAAAAGAACTTGTAAGTTATTTCCTTCACCTTGGATTTCCCTTTCAGTGCTCATCATGTATTCATCAGAATGTCAGAAGTATTTGAATACTGTCATTTCCATGGAGAGTTGAGGGATCATTTTATGAGAAATGACAGCATCCTTACTCAGAGAAACATTTAGGGGTGTGTGTGTGTGTGTGTGTGTGTGTGTGTTTCTTTTTGAAATTGAATTTGGGCTTTTTTGAGTCTCAGTGTTTTAAATTTCAGCATTATGTTATTGTAAGTTAATTTCATTAAATGTTTCCAGTTTGTTGTAGGTTGATGTTGGACCTCATGATATGGAGAGAAAATATTTGAAGTATAGGAAAGAACAAATAGATAATGCTTCTTCTTAGCCTTTGCATTAAAATGAACTTTCTAATTATTTTTCAAGTATTGTTAGTAATAAAATTGATTAAGTTAGGATAAAATTTTTCTTTGTATTTATTTTGGCAACAATGAATAGCTGAAAAGCCATAAATAAGACTGAAGGTGAGGCGAAACTTAAAATCACAAATAATTGGCAAACGGGACAGATTGTCACCTTATTCAGTTCAACTGAAAGGAAAATTTCTTCAACATAAAACTGAATTGCATTTGAAGATTTTTAAAAATCTATATAAATTATAATACCTAAAACTTAATATGTATCAATCGGTGTATTAAGAGTTGGAAGAAAGAATGATAAATTATTAGTAATAATTAATTTTGAATTTTTGGTAACCACAGAACTAAGCTTTTAGGAATTTTCCTAATTCTAATTGATAAATTCCTTCATAAAGAAGAACCCTATTTCTCAAGTCAAGCAGTAAACAGAATTGATAGAAATATTTATTTTAGGTTTTCTCTAGTTTATCAGTTATTTTCACAATTTAGCTTTTAAGTCTCAAAACTGCAATGAGTTCATTATTAAAAACATTAATTAAGTAATTCTTGAGAAATAATGAATCACCCCATGCCTGAGAATCAATCTCACATTTTACCCACCAATGGCTATTTTATTTTTTCTTTGCAATCCTTTGCAAATATAAGAAAAGATGAAGCATTGTTTAAGAGTGAGGATTTTGAATTTTAGACAGGTTGTATTCCAGTGAAAATAAAGTAATGGAAAATTTTCAGTCAGCTATACTTCTACATTTTAAAGAAATATCAGAATGTATTCTGCCAAATAGTTCTTTGGGATATTTGAGTTTAATGGTGTAAGGTATGCCCAGCCCTCACTCACGGACTTGGCATAGTTGTAAACATAGTCTAGACTTTCATGAGCTGTGTGAGTGGTGACCTGGGTAATTTCACAAGAGACAAGATAGTGACTTGACTTACAGACTGCATTTTTCTGCATTTTTGCAAGTGTTCTGGTCACGTTTATGTGATGTGACAGAGGGACTTCTTGATTATAAAGCAATACTGAAGGATAACAAAATGTCAGCATTCACAGAGTGCTGAAACTGTGCAGTAAAGTAAAATGAAAAGAAAAGGTATATTTTTGTGACTGAAAATTGAGATTCATTAAGTTTGTGGACTAAGCCATGTGACTTGAAAGTAGCTAAGTGGCAGCACTACCACCCAGCCTTCTCTTTTAACTACCAAGCTGACAATTTTTATGATGATTTCCATAATGCTGGTTATCATGTTTGCTTCACAAGCAGACAGCTTTCAATGCCAGCACCATTTGCTTCTTCTTTCCTTCCTTATAGCCTTTCATTGCTCTCCTCACTTAATGTGAAATTTTGATAATGGAATTTTACTGTTGAAATCTACAACCCCAAACTAAAAAGGACAAAGCAGTGCTAAGATAGCTGTTGAAAGGGCAGTAGTAGATATTTTCTACAATTCCCACCTTTCTAACTGTTGATATTCCTACCGGTCGATGACCTTATATGCATCTGGGGTCATTTGCCAACACACAGGGCCGCAACACCTGTGGCCATCCCTGTGAAGTGTTCCTCATGGGAGATGTGCCTAGGAACAGTTTATATACAGGACCACCATAAAAATAACTGTTTGTGCTTTAAGTAACCAAATTCTTACCTATACTCCACTCAATTCCAGAATGTTTAAGCTGAAATCATTTCATCGTGCTTTCTTACATGATAGAGAGGAGGCCAAGGCCCTAGAGTGGTGAAGTGTGCAGTGTAATATAACCAGTGGTAAAACGGAGAGGACAGTTAGGACTGTTGACAGTGTTTACAGAATTGGCTAAACATCATTCATTCATTCATTCATTCATTCACCAGTCCTTTTTGTGTGGGAAGTAAAACGTGTTAGCTCACAGCTTAGTCTAAGATTTCCCAACCTCAGCACTATTAACATTTTGGACTGGTAAACCAGTCAAAATCATTGTCTCTGTCTGTATTTCTCTCTCTCCCATGTCTTTATCCTGGGGAGTCCTACAATCTGATTATGGAAATTGGGCCTTAGAAAAGAAATATCTGCAATAATAATTTTTTTCCCAGAACTATTCTTATAAAAGAGCAACTTTTTTTTTTTTTTTTTTTTAATCCTAAGATCAAAGATCAAGGGAGGAGGGTCAGAGGAAGCCAGCTGAGGTCATTCTGCAGTACAAGTTCAGACCATGTTCTTCCAGCTGGAGGGAAGAAATGCTGAAGGAGAAGGAGTGCCAGGTGTATTTGAGGAAGGCATCTGGGAACTTCCCCTAAATGTTTCTGCCCAGATTTTCTGATGGAAACTTAGTCACATGCACACATCTCATTGCTAGGAGACAGGGAATTTTATTCTCTATTCTTAGCAGCCGTGTGCCTATTACAGGGTTCTATTACAGTGAAAAAGGATGGAGCTCTGTCAAATGGGTGTTCTTTTTTCTTTTATTTTATTTTTTATTATACTTCAAGTTCTAGGGTACATGTGCACAACGTGTAGGATTGTTACATAGGTATACATGTGCCATGTTGGTTTGCTGCACCCATCAACTCGTCATTTACATTAGGTATTTCCCCTAATGCTATCCTTCCACCAGGCCCCCACACTCCCTGAAAGGCCCTGGTGTGTGATGTACCCTGCCCTGTGTCCAAGTGTTCTCATTGTTCAGTTCCCACCTATGAGTGAGAACATGCGGTGTTTGGTTTTCTGTCCTTGTGATAGTTTGCTCAGAATGATGGTTTCCAGCTTCATCCATGTTCCTGCAAAGGACATGAACTCATCCTTTTTTATGGCTGCATAGTATTCCATGGTGTATGTGTGCCACATTTTCTTAATCCAGTCTATCATTGATGGACATTTGGGTTGGTTCCAAGTCTTTTCTATTGTGAATAGTGCCACAATAAATATACATGTGCATGTGTCTTTATAGTAGCATGATTTATAATCCTTTGGGTATATACCCAGTAATGGGATGGCTGGGTCAAATGGTATTTCTAGTTCTAGATCCTTGAGGAATCGTCACACTGTCTTCCACAATGGTTGAACTAATGCTTCCCACCAACAGTGTAAAAGCTTTCCTATTTCTCCACATCCTGTCCAGGATCTGTTGTTTCCTGACTTTAAATGATTGCCATTCTAACTGGTATGAGGTGATATCTCATTGTGCTTTTGATTTGCATTTCTCTGATGACTAGTGATGATGAGCATTTTTTCATGTGTCTGTTGGCTGCATAAATGTCTTCTTTTGAGAAGTGTCTGTTCATATCCTTTGCCCACTTTTTGATGAGGTTCTTTGTTTTTTTCTTGTAAATTTAATTGAATTATTTGCAGATTCTAGATATTAGTCCTTTGTCAGATGGGTAGATTGCAAAAATTTTCTTTCATTCTGTAGGTTGCCTGTTCACTCTGATGGTAGTTTCTTTTGCTGTGCAGAAGCTCTTTAGTTTAATTAGATGCCATTTGTCTATTTTGGCTTTTGTTGCCATTGCTTTTGGTGTTTTAGTCATGAAGTCCTTGCCCATGCCTATGTCCTGAATGGTATTGCCTAGGTTTTCTTCTAGGGATTTTATGGTTTTAGGTCTAACATTTAAGTCTTTAATCCATCTTGAATTAATTTTTGTATAAGGTGTAAGGAAAGGATCCAGTTTCAGCTTTCTACATATATCTAGCCAGTTTTCCCAGCACCATTTGTTAAATAGGGAATCCTTTCCCCATTTCTTGTTTTTGTCAGGTTTGTCAAAGATCAGATGGTTGTAGATGTGTGGTGTTATTTCTGAGGTCTCTGTTCTGTTCCATTGGTCTGTATATCTGTACTGGTACCAGTACCATGCTATTTTGGTTACTATAACGTTGTAGTATAGTTGGAAGTCAGGTAGCATGATGCCTCCAGCTTTGTTCTTTTTGCTTAGGATTGACTTGGCAATGCTGTCTCTTTCTTGGTTCCATATGAACTTTAAAGTAGTTTTTTCCAATTCTGTGAAGGAAGTCATTGGTAGCTTGATGGGGATGGCATTGAATCTATAAATTACCTTGGGCAGTATGGCCATTTTCACGATATTGATTCTTCCTATCCATGAGCATGGAATGTTCTTCCATTTGTTTGTGTCCTCTTTTATTTCCTTGAGCAGTGGTTTGTAGTTCTCCTTGAAGAGGTCCTTCACATCCCTTGTAAGTTGGATTCCTAGGTATTTTATTCTCTTTGAAGCAATTGTGAATGGGAGTTCACTCATGATTTGGCTCTCTGTTTGTCTGTAATTGGTGTATAGGAATGCTTGTGATTTTTGCACATTGATTATGTATCCTGAGACTTTGCTGAAGTTGCTTATCAGCTTAAGGAGATTTGAGGCTGAGACGATGGGGTTTTCTAAGTATACAGTCATGTCATCTGCAAACAGGGACAATTTGACTTCCTCTTTTCCTGATTGAATACTCTTTATTTCTTTCTCTTGCCTGATTGCCCCGGCCAGAACTTCCAACACTATGTTGAATAGGAGTGGTGAGAGAGGGCATCCTTGTCCTGTGCTGGTTTTCAAAGGGAATGTTTCCAGTTTTTGCCCATTCAGTATGATATTGGCTGTGGGTTTGTCATAAATAGCACTTATTATTTTGAGATACATCCCATCAATACCTAGTTTATTGAGAGTTTTCAGTATGAAGGGCTGCTGAATTTTGTCAAAGGCCTTTTCTGCATCTATGGAGATAATCATGGGGTTTTTGTGTTTGGTTCTGTTTATGTGATGGATTACGTTTACTGGTTTTTGTATGTTGAACCAGCCTTGCATCCCAGGGATGAAGCCAACTTGATCGTGGTGGATAAGCTTTTTGATGTGCTGCTGGATTCAGTTTGCCAGTATTTTATTGAGGATTTTTACGTCGATGTTCATCAGGGACATTGGTCTAAAATTCTCTTTTTTTGTTGTGTCTCTGCCAGGCTTTGGTATCAGGATGATGGTGGCCTCATAAAATGAATTGGGGAAGATTCCCTCTTTTTCTATTGATTGGAATAATTTCAGAAAGAATGGTACCAGCTCCCCTTTGTACCTCTGTTAGAATTCGGCTATGAATCTATCTGGTCCTGGACTGTTTTTGGTTGGTAGGCTATTAATTATTGCTTCAATTTCAGAGCCTGTTATTGGTCTATTCAGAGATTCATCTTCTTCCTGGTTTATTCTTGGGAGGGTGCATGTGTTGAGGAATTTATCCATTTCTTTTTGATTTTCTAGTTTATTTGTGTAGAGGTGTTTATAGTATTCTCTGGTGGTAGTTTGTATTTCTGTGAGGTCGGTGGTGATATCCTCTTTATCATTTTTTATTGCATCTATTTGATTCTTCTCTCCTTTCTTCTTTATTAGTCTTGCTAGTGGTCTATCAATTTTGTTGATCTTTTCAAAAAACCAGCTCCTGGATTCACTGATTTTTTTGAAGGGTTTTTCATGTCTCCATCTCCTTCATTTCTGCTCTGATCTTAGTTATTTCTTGGTTCTGCTAGCTTTTGAATGTGTTTGCTCTTCCTTCTCTAGTTCTTTTAATTGTGATGTTAGGGTGTCGATTTTTGATCTTTCCTGCTTTGTCTTGTGGGCATTTAGTGCTATAAATTTCCCTCTACACACTGCTTTAAATGTGTCCCAAGGATTCTGGTACATTGTGTCTTTGTTCTCATTGGTTTCAAAGAACATCTTTATTTCTGCCTTCATTTCGTTATTTACCCAGTAGTCATTCAGGAGCAGGTTGTTCTGTTTCCACGTAGTTGTGCAGTTTTGAGTGAGTTTCTTAATCCTGAGTTCTAATTCAATTGCACTGTGGTCTGAGAGACAGTTTGTTGTGATTTCTGTTCTTTTACATTTGCTGAGGAGTGCTTTACTTCCAACTATGTGGTCAATTTTAGAATAAGTGCAATCTGGTGCTGAGAAGAACGAATATTCTGTTGATTTGGGGTGGAGAGTTCTGGAGATGTCTATTGGGTCTGCTTGGTGCAGAGCTGAGTTCAATTCCTGGATGTCTTTGTTAACCTTCTGTCTCCTTGTTCTGTCTAATATTGACAGTGGGGTGTTAAAATCTCCCATTATTTTTGTGTGGGAGTCTAAGTCTCTTTGTAGGTCTTTAAGGACTTGCTTTATGAATCTGGGTGCTCCTGTGTTGGGTGGATATATATTTAGGATAGTTAACTCTTCTTGTTGAATTGATCCCTTTACCATTATGTAATGGACTTCTTTGTCTCTTTTGATCTTGTTGGTTTAAAGTCTGTTTTATCAGAGACTAGGATTGTAGTCCCTGCTTTTTGTTTGTTTGTTTGTTTGTTTTGTTTTTTTTGTTTTGTTTTGTGTTTTGTTTTTTTTTTTGTTTTTTTTTGCTCTCTATTTGCTTTGTAGATCTTCCTCCATCCCTTTGTTTTGAGCCAGTGTATGTCTTTACATGTGGGATGGGTCTCCTGAATACAGCACACTGATAGGTCTTGACTCTTTATCCAATTTGCCAGTCTGTGTCTTTAATTGGGGCCTTTAGCCCATTCACATTCAATGTTAATATTGTTATATGTGAATTTGATCCTGTCATTATGATGTTAGCTGGTTATTTTGCCCATTGATTGATGTAGTTTCTTCATAGCATCGATGGTCTTTTCAATTTGGCATGTTTTTGGAGTGGCTCGTACTGGTCGTTTCTTTCCATGTTTAGTGCTACCTTCAGGACCTCTTGTAAGGCAGGCCTGGTGGTGACAAAATCTCTTGGCATTTGCTTGTTTGTAAAGGATTTTCTTTCTCCTTCACTTATGAAATTTAGTTTGGCTGGATATGAAATTCTGGGTTGAAAATTCTTTTCTTTAAGAATGTTGAGTATTGGCCCCCACTCTCTTCTAGCTTGTAGAGTTTCTGCCAAGAGTTCTCCTGCTAATCTGATGGGCTTCCCTTAGTGGGTAACCTGACCTTTCTCTCTGGCTGTGCTTAACATTTTTTCCTTCATTTCAACCTTGGTGAATCTGACAATTATGTGTTTTGGGGTTGCTCTTCTTGAGGAGTATCTTTGTGGTGTTCTCTGTATTTCCTGAATTTGAATGTGGCCCTGCCTTGCTAGGTTGGGGAAGTTCTTCTGGGATAATATCCTGAAGAGTGTTTTCCAGCTTGGTTCCATTCTCCCCATCACTTTAAGGTATACCAATCAAACATAGATTTGGTCTTTTCACATGGTCCCATATTTCTTGGAGGCTTTGTTCATTTCTTTTCATTCTTTTTTCCCTAAACTTGCCTTCTCACTTTATTTCATTAATTTGATCTTCAGTTGCTGATACCCTTTCTTCCACTTGGTCGAATCGGCTGTTGAAACTTGTGTATGCATCATGAAGTTCTCTTGCCATGGTTTTCAGCTCCATCAGGTCATTTAAGGTCTTCTCTACACTGTTTATTCTAGTTAGCCATTTGTCTAACCCTTTTTCAAGGGTTTGAACATGTTCCTTTAGCTCAGAGAAGTTCGTTATTACCGACCTTCTGAAACCTACTTCTGTCAACTCGTCAAAATCATTCTCTGTCCAGCTTTGTTCCATTGCTGACGAGGAGCTGCGATCTTTTGGAAGAGAAGAGGTGGTCTGGTTTTTAGAATTTTCAGCTTTTCTGCTCTGATTTTTCCCCATCTCTGTGGTTTTATCTGCCTTTGGTCTTTGATGTTGGTGACCTACAGATGGGTTTTTGGTGTGGACATCCTTTTTGTTGATGTTGATGCTATTCCTTTCTATTTGTTAGTTTTCCTTCTAACAGTCAAGTCCCTCAGCTGCAAGTCTGTTGGAGTTTGCTGGAGGTCCACTCCAGACCCTGTTTGCCTGGGTATCACCAGCGGAGGCAGCAGAACAGCAAATATCGCACAACAGCAAATATTGCTGCCTGATCCTTCCTCTGCAAGCTTCGTTCCAGAGGGGCACATGCCTATATGAGGTGACTGTCAGCCCCTCCTGGAAGGTGTCTCCCAATTAGGCTACATGGGGGTCAGAGACCCACTTGAGGAGGCAGTCTGTCTGTTCTCAGAGCTCAAACGCTGTGCTGGGAGAACCACTGCTCTCTTCACCATTGTCAGATAGGGACACTGAAGTCTGCAGAAGTTGTCTGCTACCTTTTGTTCAGCTATGCCCTGCCCATAGATGTGGAGTCTATGGAGGCAGTAGACCTTGGTGATCTGCAGTGGGCTCTGCCCTGTTCGAGCTTGCCGGCCACTTTGTTTACCTATTCAAGCCTCAGCAATGGTGGATGCCCCTCCCCCAGCCAGGCTGCCACCTCACTGTTTGATCTCAGAGTGCTGTGCCAGCAGTGAGCAAGGCTCCGTGGGCATGGGACCCCCTGAGCCAGGCACGGGAGAGAATCTCCTTGTCTGCTGGTTGCTAAGACCTTGGGAAAAACACAGTATTTGGGTGGAAGTGTCCCGTTTTTCCAGGTACAGTCTGTCACAGCTTTCCTTGGCTAGGAAAGGGAAATCCCCTGGCCCCTTGAGCTTCCCAGGTGAGGCAATGCCCTGCCCTGCTTTGGCTCGCCCTCTGTGGGCGGCACCCACCATCCAATCAGTCCCAATGAGATGAACCAGGTACCTCAGTGCAGAAATCACCCATCTTCTGCGTCCATCCCTGTGGGAGCTGCAGACCAGAGCTATTCCTATTTGGCCATCTTGGAACAGACCCTCTTTTTTCTTTTTTAATAAAACTAGCAGAAAAGGGGATTCCATAAGCAGATATTCAGTCAAAGGCAGTTCCTGGAATTGGCTCATGTGGCTTATTCTATAACAATGACCAAAACACTTTAACCCGTTGAAGAATGGGGCAGTCATTTTTCCTTTAAATGTTAAAACTAAGCAGTTGTGCTGTTTAATGCTGATTTTGAGAAAGGTGTTGTGTTTTAGTCTAGACTCCATCCTCTTGCTAACTGAGTGGCCTATAATTAATTCCCATGAACCTCATTTTTCCATTCTTTAAGATGGGAGTCATGGTAATATGTTGATTTTTTTTCCTATCTGTAAGCCTAATCTTCCAGAAATCCTTATTGATAGGAAAATATACAAAATTAGATCAAGAGAATAAGATTGTGAATGAGTCTGCAAAGCCCTTGAAAATGTTTTGTTTTTCTTATCATAAAATCACAGAGATAACATACTCAATAAAGATGTTAACTTTTATATACATCTTAGGACTATGTATATTGGTAGTGAGCCCAGGTTATGTCCTTCAGGGCTCTTTGGTCTTGCTCAGGAGTATCTGAGTATCCTGATACTCAGATCTGGGAGTATCACCCCTTGTCCCTTTCATGTGCTCAAGGCCTGGTTCCAGTGCAGACTCCTGCTGCAGTGGGAACCGCAGGATGTATGGTGCAGAGGCTTCAGGGCACATTGGCTCCTTCCATCACGTCTAGACAATGGATGGAGTACTGCACTGTCACCTCTGGGCTCTGTCCTCTCCCATGACTGCCAGAGGGACCAGGTGACACTGAAAGACAGGAGAGTTCTTGTTCCATGGGGTGAATTTTGATCAATTATGGGAATGACGTGGAAGATAAATCTTGCTTCTTGCTTGCTTACCCAATGAACGGCCCCGAGGTGTGTTGGTTTTGGACAGCATGAATGGAGATGTGCCATAGAGGTAGAGCAGCTGGCTGGCTCCTCACGCTGCTGTGGCCAGGTCAGCTGAGGCCACTTGTATTTACCTTCCTTCCTTGTCTCACATCTCTTTATTCCTCAATCTTGCTGTCCAAGATGCGCACACACACACACACACACACACACACACACACACACACCAAGCTTTAGCAGGCAAGCTTTGCCTCAGGCAGTTTTCCTGAAAATTTGAACTAAAGCAGTATTATATGTAATATAATATAAAAATTTAATTTCTACTGCTATTGCTTTTACCTTAGGAATAAGAAAAAAAATACATCTGTTATTTTTAGTCAGATCCAGTACTTGTTATAAGTTGTCTAAGTAGTCTATGTTATGCCTAGTATTTTATCAGTTCATATTTGTTCATCCAGGTTCTTTGTCATCCCGGAAGAGCAGAGAAATCCAAATGCTTGGCATGGAAAAAAGCTTCAGTAACTTTAATTAGGAAATCTTCAAATTCACCCAGGGTGATTTTCCAAATATCCTGTCTGGTATGCAGAATTATGTAACCCTAGTTTTGTCCCTAACTTGATGTCAGAGCCATCAGCTTCTAGCCACTCCACACACTGTCTGCCTCCTAATGCCAGTATTCCTTGTCTTCCCACAGCTCCAAGGGGAGATTGACACTTGGATGCTGTATTAGTCAGGGTTCTCTTAGAGGGACAGAATGTATATATATACATGTCCCTCAAAATATATATATATATATATATATATATATATATATATATATATATATGTATGTAAAGGAAAGTTTATTAAGTTTTAACTTACACGATCACAAGGTCCCACAATAGGCTGTCTGTAAGCTGAGGAGCAAGGAGAGCCAGCCTGAGTCCCGAAACTGAAGAACTTGGAATCCGATGTTCGAGGGCAGGAAGCATCCAGCATGGGAGAAAGATGTAGGCTGGGAGACTAGGCCTGTCTCTCCTTTTCACATTTTTCTGCCTGCTTTATATTCACTGGGAGCTGATTAGACTGTGCCCACCAGTTTAAGGGTGGATCTGCCTTCCCCAGCCCACTGACTCAAATGTTCATCTCTTTTGGCAATACCCACACAGACAGACCCAGGATTAATACTTTGTATCCTTCAATCTAATCAAGTTGACTCTCAGTATTAACCATCTCAGATGCTGTCATATGCTTTCAACATCATTTGCTTTCTCTCACAAGGTTTAAAGTGGCATTACAAATATCGAACACCCCCTCTACTTCCTATTTTTCCTCTCTCTTTTTTTTTTTTTTGAGATGGAGTCTTGCTCTGTCGCCCAGGCTGAAGTACAGTGGTGTGATCTCTGCTCACTGCAACCTCCTCTGCCTCTCAGATTCAAGCGATTCTCCTGTCTCAGCATCCCAAGTAGCTGGGATTACAGGCGCATGCTACCACGCCCAGCTAATTTTTGTATTTTTAGTAGAGACGGGGTTTTGCCATGTTGACCAGGCTGGTCTCGAACTCCTGACCTCAGATGATCCACCCGCCTCGGCCTCCCAAAGTGCTGGGATTATAGGCATGAGCCACCATGCCCGGACTCTCATCCCCTCTTTCCTTAATCTCTTTCTTTGTTCACTTTTCTTTCTTTCTTCCCTCTCCTTTCTTTTGTCCTTTTTCTCCTTCAACTCCCACCTGACCTCCCCACCTTTTTTTTGGAGGAAGTGAAGTGCTATGGTTTTAATCTTTTGCTTCCTTAGGTTGCATTTTACTTTGCAAGGAACATGGAACTGGGAACCAGATAGATTTAATTTTAATTATCTGCTGTGCCTGTCATAAGCTCTGTGACCTTGGTCAGATTACTTCTCTCTTCTCTGATAATGTTTTCATGCTCATAAAATGAGGATTTATTATTCTTACCTTGTAGAATTTTATGTGGAGTTCTGGTATGCAAACTACTTTACAACCACTGTTAATTGTTCTCCCAGTCTTGGTCAGCACTGAGCATCAGTACCAGTCACAAAATGGGTATTTACTAAAAGCTCAAGTTAATGAATGAATTAATAAAAATCTACTTGTGAGCCAGGTGTCAGCATACCCTTAGGAAACTTTCTCTTCTCTCCATTCTAATTTTTGTTCATTCTTACCAATTTTTCAACTTTTGTGTTTCTCCTCCTCTCTTGCTATCCCATCTCCATTTTTCTCCTTCTCACTTTTAAAACAGAAATCAATTATTGAAGAATTTAACAATGCCTAAGATTGAAAAAGGAAAGTGAATATATTATTTAGAAAAGTGGAGACAAATGGGAATCAATAGCTTAAAAATTTACAAGTATTTGCCTTCAGGGATCAGAACTTTGGAACAGAGATGGAGCAAGGAGCTGGCTTAATTTATATGCCTTCACATATGATTAGATTATTGAAAACTATGTATGTCTTTAATAATTAACTTCCACCTATGGAAAATGAATATTTAGCATCCTTACAGTAGCACAACCACTACTACTTCAAACATATTTCCCTTCCTGCTACCTTCCAAATATATATCATTTGATTACATTTTTTAAAAGATCAACGCTCATTGTCCACATAACAATATAATTATGGTTCATAGGTGAACCATATCAGATTCTATGATTACTTTTTTTGCCTAATTTTTTGTTTCTTGGCATCAGTAATTGCCTTACTTTCAAATTTTGCTTAATATTCTGTTTCCAAGTACAAGGATATAATTACAAAACAAATCTTGGACCGGACACAGTGGCTCACACCTGTAATCCTACCACTTTGGGAGGTCGAGGCGGGTGGTTCACTTGAGGCCAGGAATTTGAGACCAGCCTGGCCAACGTAGCAAAACCCCGTCTCTACTAAAGATAACCAAAATTAGCCAGGAATGGTGGCGCATGACTGTGTTTCCAGCTACTCGGGAGGCCGAGGCACGGGAATCGTTTGACTTCGGAGGCGGAAGCTGCAGTGAGCCAAGATGTTGCCATGGCACTCTGGCCAGGGCGATAGTCTTAATATGTTTAAACATACCAGATAATACCTTCTCCATTCCATTTGTTTAGAGACATTTCTCCTGTAACTCTCATCTTAGCTGGTTGCTTTAAAGTTCAAAGGCTTACTTGTCCATCTAATTTTCTGGAAGATCATATTACCATGATTTTGGGAGTTCCCTGTGACTCTTAAAACTGAAAAAATTCCTGTTTTTTCAGATCTTTTGCCTAACTTCCTTGATTTATTCCCTTATGTGAGCAGAGCACACCCCTCAGTATTCTCCTGAGAAATGGTACAGAAGCAGTAGAATTTTTGAGGCCTTACACATTTGTAAATATTTTTATTTTACCCTCAACCTGGATTGATAATTTAACTAGAAATAGAAAGCTAGGTTTGAATGAATTAGTCCTCAGAAATTTGAAGGCTATGGATTTTGGTTTATTGCTTCTTTTACGCTGTTGAAGATCCATTATTGTTCTGATTTCTGATGATTTTTATGTAAGCTCCATTTTCTTATGGGTTGCTTTTAGGTTTTCATTTTATCCATGTTTTTTAAACATTTTATGATGACATGCCTTTTGTTTATTTTCTCATTCATTGTACAGTGTACATATTGGGCCATTTTAATGTGGAAACTTTAAAAAAAAATTCATTCTGGAAATATTCCTGAAATTTTTTTTTTGGCAATTCTCTTGATTTTATTATCTCTCATTCAGCAGTTCTATTAGTCAGATGGGCTTCTGATATCCTTCTTTATGTTTTAAAACTCTGTTTTCTGTTTTTAATAGCCCTCTTCCTTATTTACATTTAATTTCTGTAAATTATGTTGTTTTATGTATCTATTTGTTTTAAATTTTTCTACCCAGAACTGTGTTTTGAGATCCATCAACACTTATTATTTCTCTCTAAATTCCGTGTAGCACTCCATAGTACACATCTAATACATTTTATGTACCCTCTAACAAATACCCCATCTCCTTTTCTGTTTCCACAGGTAACAACTTAATGAATATGCTCATTCATGTTTGCTGTGGACATTTCTGTTAGCATCTCATTGAGAGATACACCCAGAAGTTGGTTCTTAGGACACACATATATGTCCCTTAGTAGTGCAATGTTTCCCTCTAAAAAGACTTCACCCCTCTACAATCCCATCAGTAGTACCTAAGGGTTCCTGTGTCTCCACATGCTCTTAGCACATGGCATCATTCAACTTTCTAACTCTTAGAGCATCCAACTGATATAATGTAATATCTCATGGATTTAATTTGTTTGTCTCCAATAATGAATGAGTTTGAACAACTCTTCATATGCATGTTACACTTCGGGTTTCCTCTTTTGTGTATTATCCCTTCATATCCTTGACATGCGTTATCTGTTTGCTTCTTTCTGTCCAGTTTGTAGGAGTTCCTTGTAAATGCGAATGTGAATCCTTTGGTTCCTGTGAGTTTGATTACCTGGTGGTGGTGGCAATGATGTAATTGGGAAAGCAAGAGATATGGTGAATTATAATGGTACAACCCTCCAGAAAGAAGCCATTTTGGGATGTCTGGATTTCAGCTGCTTGCAGATGGGGGAGTTGGTGGAGAATGGGTTGGAGAGATTAGGAGTTGTTGGGTGGAATCACCCACAGGAGAGACACTGCTGTGCAAGCCACACCAATATTTTCACCAAATTGAGCTTCTGGATGCCAAGATCCCTTGGGCTCCAGGTAATGCCTAAACAACGTGGGATGGACTGTGCTAGCAACTGGCCCTTCTGGGAATCAGAGGTGGTGATGCTGCTGTGGGCTGCCACTCTAGGCAAGGAGTACATCCCACCATCAGAGGAAGAAGAAGTCTAATTAGGGGTGGTAGTTGGGGCTATCTCTAATCCTCTTATGTATTTTCAGAGCCTAGCACCATGATAATTTATAAGAATTCCTCATGTTTTTGGAATAGAAACTTAGCTATTGGTTTTTACTATTACTTAAGTTGAAGGATTTCTCAAAGTAGTGCTTATTTAGGTAATGGCTATGCTAACATGATAACAAAAATAGTTGCTTGGGAAATTTCACAATATCCTATGTGGCAATTAATAATACTGAGACTGTTGAAAATATCATGAATCAATATTAATGATAGGTTCTTTTACTACAAAGAAATGTAGAAATATTCACTTATTTTTAAAAACTTCTAGTAATATTAAAATGAAGATTTCTAATTTAAGTATTTAAACAAAGCTTTCTAGTAGTCTTTTGTAGAAAAATGGGGTTAGATAACATTTCCATAATTTATTTCTATTTATGATTAAGTGTGGTAAAGTTTGTTCTTCATCTTTGGTACTTGCTTGTCATCAGTGGAAGACATTGAGTTGGCCTCTTTTAAAACAATAGTGTGTATTCCGGGGTTTTAGTGTACCCATCACCTGAATAGTGTTCATTGTACCCAACAGGTAATGTTTCATCCTTCACCTGCCTCCCACTGTTTGGAGTCTCCAGTGTCTATTACTCCACTCTGTATATTCATGTGTACCCATTTTTTAGCTCTGACTTATAAGTTAGAACATACAGTTTTTGGCTGTTTCTGAGTCATTTTTCTTAGGATAATGGCCCCCAGTTCCATCTATGTTGCTGTAAGAGACATGATTTCATTCTTCTTTATGGCTGAGTAGTAAGTATTCCATGGTGTATATATATCACATTTATAAAATCCAGTTATCCATTGATGGACACTTAGGTTGATTCCATGAGTTTGCTATTGTGAATGCTGCTGTGATAAACATATGAGTGCAGGTAACTTTTTGATCTAATGATTTCTTTCCCTTTGGGTAATCCCATCTTGTACTGGGATTGCTAGGTAAAACGGTAGCTCTATTCTTAGTTCTTTGCAAAACCTTCATACTGTTTTCCATAGAAATAATTTATATTTCCACCAGCAGGGTATAATCATTCCCTTTTCTCTGCAGTCTCGCCAGCATCTGTGGTTTTCTGACCAGCCATTCTGACTGATGTGAGATGGTATCTCATTGTGGTTTTAATTTGCATTTCTCTGATGATTAGAGACATTGAGCATTTTTTTGTATGTTTGTTAGCTGCTTGTGTGTCTTCTCTTGAGAAGTATCTATTCATATCCTCTGCCTACTTTTTAATAGGGTTATTTGTCTTTTTATTGTGAGGTTGATTGAATTCCTTGTAGGTTATGGATATTAGCCCTTTGTTGGATGGATTGTTTGCAAATACTTTCTCCCATTCTGTAGGTAGTCTTTTTACTTGTTGATTATTTCTTTTGCTGTTCAGAAGCTTTTTAGTTTAATTAAGTTCTATTTTTTGTTTGTGTTGCATTTGCTTTTGAGGTTTTAGTCGTACATTCTTTCCATAGGCCAGAGTTTTTCCTAGGTTTTTCTCTAGGACTTTTCTTGTTTTTTTTTTTTTTTCTTTTTGAGACAGAGTTTCACTCTTGTTGCCCAGGCTGGAGTGCAGTGGCGCGATCTTGGCTCACTGCAACCTCTGCTCCAGGGTTCAAGCGATTCTCCTGCCTCAGCCTCCCGAATAGCTGGATTACAAATGCCCGTCGCCATGCCCAGCTAATTTTTGTGTTTTTATTAAAGGCAGGGTTTCATCATGTTGGCCATGCTGGTCTCGAACTCCTGACCTCGGACGATCCATCTCCCAAAGTGCTGGGATTACAGGCATGAGCCACCGGCATCCAGCCTTCTAGGATTTTTATAGTTTCAGATCTTACCTTGAAGTCTTTAACCCATCTTGAGTTAATTTTTGTATATGGTGAGAGAAAAGATTGGGGTCCAGTTTCATGCTTCTGCATATGGCTGTCCAATTTTCCAGCATCATTTATTGAATAGGGTGTCCTTTCCCTATTATATATTTTTGTCAACTTTTTCAAAGATCAGTTGGTTGTAAGAGTGTGTATTTTAATATATTTTTATCTTTGTGATATGCCTACAGTCTTATAAATATTTGACACTTTTAAAATTAATACAAACCATAATTTTAAGAGCAAAGTTGACGCTTGGAGTTTGTGTTACAGTAGTTTCCTTCCATTCCTCATTTGAGTGTATAAAATGGACATGTGGCATGACCATGGTTATTGTTGGTAAGTAATAACGTGAGCACTATACCCAGAATAAATGCAGTGTAGATTAGAAAGCCAACTGATTGCAGACCCAAATGTAGCTTACTTTTCACCAGCTAGAATTGGGTCTGAGAACTAATTCACCGTTTTTGAGGATATATTTTATTTATTTAGACAGTAGTTGCCTTCTGTCTCTGTGTCTCCTCTCTCTGTCTCTCCATCTTTATCTGCATAGACATATAGTAAGTAACGGCAGCAACTATGATACTAAAAACAGTACTATGCTTTATATAGGGTCATTTATCTTCTAGGACATCCCCTTCTACCTCACTTCTCATCTTTTTTCCATCGAGATTATTATTTTATTGTGATTTTATTTTAAATGATTACTTAATTGAAATGCACATACTGTGGACTGACAGAAAACATCCCATTACAGTATGAAGTCTCTATTTTTTTAAAATAATGCCATATCAATAAGAAAACAGTGATCATGAACAGCATTTAGGAACAATTCATGGGTTATTTTCCCCTTCCTTAAGCAGCGCTTATTTCAGAGAAAATTCTTAGTTTCATGTCCACAACAAGTAACACAAGAGACAAGAGGTAGCTATATGGGGTTACATTACTAAGTCCAAATAAGACTTGGCTTACATGAGCAGTAAATCATGGCTTTTGGAGGAGATGTGAGTTGCAAGGAAAAGTGCTTTTTGTTTTCTAGAGCATGCTTCCCTAGATTATAGTTGTCCCTCATGTGGCCTAGTCTTTTATCTCAGCTCTTTAATTTTATGCTTAAACTGAGTGTGCTTTTGTTACCTACATCATTGGAACCCTTGAGATCTTTTTTTCTGGCCTGGTGGTGTGAAGGGGCCTGGTTTGAATAAGAGTCCAGGAAGTGGTTCTCAGAATGATTTTTGTATTGCCAGAAATGCTGATGTATTGGCTCCAAATTAACATTTCCAAAAATGTCACCCTACACAAACTGAAAACAAAGATACAAGTGTTGTCACCACAGCTGTGCACTCTCCTCCTGAAACCAGTTTCTTCCTCTTCTATGAAAAGTGAGAAATTTTAAGCATCTATTTTAAGATGAAAGGGAGTCAGTTTTCTGTACTATACTGTAACCCGGCTGGTTGCTCACTTAGTGGATTTGAGTTAGGACTGTTTGTACAGATTTGTCCCTTGTACCATGGATAACAGTTTGTTGAACAAATAGAATGTCTGTGAGGGTCTGTGGTGGCCACTATTATAAGAAGAAGAATTTACTTATTAAATATTTATTGAGTATTCATTAGGTATTCCATTTTAAGGTAGATGGGGGTGTATACATAAAATCTCTGCTGTAAGTAGAACATGAACCCTAGTAGAGACCCATATATATAACTATATGAGCATTCAAAAAGGAGAGAGTTGAAAGAAGGGAATTATGAATGGCATTTATTTGAGCTGGATGCTAAAAGTAGATATAATTTGAATGTGTGGAAATTGGAAGAAATGAGCATTTATGTCAGAGGGAATGACCTAGAGAGAGAAAAGAAAAAAGGATCATGGATAGGGAGCTGAAAAAGAGGTAGTGAGAGAGACCTTTAGAAAGGTATGTTGCAGGTAAGTTGTGGACATAAAGTGCCAGATTAAAGAGTAACATCCACCAAGCAAAAGATGAGAAATTCACCTGGGTATCTACTCCAACAGTGAGTGGAGAGGACTAGCCTCTCTATCCTGAACCTTGGGCCTCTCTTTTCCTTTGGGTCAGCTATTTCATGTTTTGTAATGTGAGTTTCTTAACACACCTTTTGTGGTGGAATCCTACTCATTTTCCAGTTGTGTTTATCTTGGTAGGACCACATTTTCTCCTTAGGTAATAAGAATTATTTGAATAGTTTGATTTATTCCCTTCCCCCCATTTATAGATGGTAATATTTTAATGTACAAGCATCTCAGTACTTCTTACATGGTCTAAAAGTGATGTGAACTCTTAAAGCAGAACCTGACTTACTCTCCCTTTTCAGCTCAATTTTACCAGCTCACTTCCTAAAATTCCACACATGGAAAAAGATTATGATAGATTCTTGGAAGTATAACTGAGAAGAAACTTAAGAGTGCCAATGGATCAAAATTACATTTCCTAGATAGATAAACCTGGATTTGACAACCTCAGAATAGCAGGAAAAATCCCTTAAGCTAGAAGATTTTCCTTCTCTTCAATTAGGTTCAAAAACTGCAATTACTTCTGCACTAATCTAATACTTCCCTCTCTCCTTCTTTCCCTTCCACCACCCATCCGTCTGTGCATCTATTCATTGATTATTTTTAAGTAACCTTTTCTAGGTATTTATGCAAGTAATGAAGCAAAGCATTATGTGTTATAAACACATAATGAACTTGTTAAAAAAAATCAGTTCCAGAATCTCTGGAAGGAGAAAAATAGGAATCTGCAGTCTGAACATGCTTATAAACACCTAGTTCAGGTGATCCAGAGGTTGCAGTTTCAGAGACACTGAAATAAAAGGAAGGAGTAGTACTTCTTTGGCCAATGAAATTTATGATTGTAGTTACTTAGTATTTGTTTCATATGGACTTATAAATGGAAAAGACATATCTGGTGGATACAACATTTATAGTAGTAGAAGATTATATGCCCAGGAATGTCCTCTTCCCTTCAATATTTCATTCCATTTGCATTTCTATGGAGGCATGCCATAAGATAAAAGGTAAAGTTACTCCCTTCTCAGCTATTCCCCCTCCCAGTTGTTCCCCAAAACTCCAACATATCAGGAACAAAGGTCGGCTATTAAGAGTTATGTTCAGAGTTTATGGTACAGAGGTTGTTAATCCTTTCAATTTATTCGACTTCAAATTTTCTTATTTAATTATTTGAAGCTACCAGCATTTAAAAATCTTCTCCTCCATGTCAAGAATGAGTTGTTTGATATTTCAGGTGTCTTTTGTGGCTAAGAAATAATATGATTCTGTGAAAAGATTCCATGTGAGTGGGTTCTTTAGACATTATATATTGACTCATCTGAATCAACAAAAAGCCTAAAAAAGACATTTTTCTCTTGGTCACATCTCAGACCCACTGGATCAGAATCTATTGTTAAGAGTCAATTATAGAGCTCTTGGTGGGACTCTACTGTAGCCAGCCTGGCCCCTACCCATACTACAGTTCCATTTACTCCAAAGGAGATGTGACTTGCCCTGTTTGTTTATACATGGATTTCTCACCGCAAGATGGAAAGCTTTTTTGAGAGCAGAGTACATACTGAAATGGCTTGTTTCACTTACATCTTCCTATTTTTACTAAATTAAGGTTTTACACATAGTTGGGACTCACTGTCTTTATTAAATAATTACATGGGACTTTGATGGGAATGGTGAAAGTCGGGGTTTTCTGGGTGCTCTGAGTTAAATATTTTTTGTTGTTATTGCTCTCCTTTAGGATGGAAAGAAGAAGTTTGACAAAGAGAGTGAAAAATATTACTCTATCCTTGAAAAGCATTTAAATTTGTCCGCAAAGAAAAAGGAGTCTCATTTACAAGAGGTAAGCTTTTCCAACTGAAATAATGGAAAAGGCATTAAGTCATATAAAGTCAAAATTTCCAAAGGTAAAACTATCTCAAAATCTGCTACTATTTAATAAAATAATTATGATAGCAATGGCTAAATTAATTGAGCACTTACTATGGGCGATACTTTAAACACATTATAACTGTTCCAAGTGAAGGATCAATATTTCTTTCAACAATGAGAAAGGTTGAAACAAGATCTTTCACTTTTATTCTTTTTGAGCATTTTTAAAGGGACAGGACCTATTAAATTCATGTTATGGCCTTCAGCTTAAAGTTAAAATATCTCTGACATTGATTTTAAGGCCTTGCTTCAGCGTTGTGGGAAAGATAGATACACAGCTACACATTTTATTTTATTTTATTTTATTTTTGAGATGGAGTTTGGCTGTGTCGCCCAGGCTGGAGTGCAGTGGTGCACTCTCAGCTCACTGCAACCTCTGCCTCCTGGGTTCAAGCAATTCTTGTGCTGCAGCCTTCTGAGTAGCTGAGATTACAGGCATGTGCCACCAAGCCCAGCTAATTTTTGTATTTTTAATGGAGACGGGGTTTCACCATGTTAGTCAGGCTGGTCTTGAACTCTTCACCTTAAGCGATCTGCCTGCCTTAGCCTCTCAAAGTGCTGGGATCACAGGCATGAACCACTGTGCCCCACCGCTACATGTTTTAAAATCTCAATTATTTTATATGAAATTCTTTAAGAACAAATGAATAAATATTTTGCTCACATCTACACATCTAAGCAGTTTGTTTCTTCCATCTGTCTGAAATATATTTTATTCTTCCCATTGGTAGTGTTTTAACTATAATTCATAAAATCAAAGCCACTTCTTTTACTAAGGAATAATGTAGTTCCAATTTCAGTGACAAAGTGTGTCCAAAAAAAATAAATAAATAAACAAACAGACTCCCTTGCCATTGTCACCTTGAGAACAACAACAACAACAACAACAACAACAAATGTGAAGCAGCGCTCATCTCTCCTCCGCCTCCTGGTGTACTCTGAAGTGAACACCATTAGTAGGGAGTTGCTGGGTAGCTCACCCGCAGCTCAACACTGCTGTCTAAAAAGTGATCGGGAACCGTGAGGTCTCCTTTAGTCTCCTCCTCCTCTCTCTTCACTTATAGTTGTTGTAGTCCAGAGCCTCTCTCCTGATCCTTCTGCTAGGAAAACCTCCTCCCTTCCTGAACTGCTTTTCAAATTCATCCTGGTCCTCAGCTCTCTTTATTCCTTTTCTTATTTCTCCTACCTCTGAGTTCAACCAGAAGGCATGCTTGACAACTCAGAGTGTTACAAAGTTCCTACAGCCTCAAAAAGAAATAGGAGTGTAATTTTGGCATCTGATGCCTTTTTTTTCCAACAGGCATATGTTCTCATCGACAGTATCAAATTTCTTTATTTAAAGATGTTTAACATTGGGAAGTTTTGTTGTGCTTAATATTTATATATGGCTTCATCAGTGTGCTTTCTGTTATTAACACATGCTATTAAAAATAGTATAATTTAATATATAATTATGTGCTTATGGAAAGATTTTGATGCTAAACTGATGGAAGACAATCTGCCATTAAGAAAAACTAGATTTCTATTTGAAATTTCTTGGACATATTTAACCTTACTGTATTTGGTACTGCTTGTTGTAATTTAATACTATGTTTACATGTACCAAAATGTCTTAAGTGATATTAAGACCAAATGTCTTAATACATTGCACTAGAATAAACCTAAGAGTGAATGGAGTTATGGTATGGATGTGGATGTAGTTATGTAGAGAGACACTCATCTAATTATCACCAGTACATCATCATCTACCATGCCCAGGGCTATGGCCAGGTGCCTTTTTACAAATTGACTACAGGAAAATTATGGGTGGTCTTAGAGGCCCTAAAGAACTTCAGGCTCCAATAAATATCGGAAGTCATCCTTTGAAAGGATATTGCTTAAACCACCTTAAGGAAATGATAACATTATCCTAATTTTAAAGAGCTCTAGAGAATATACCTCAATTTTTCCTGACAACTTAGCTCAATATTCATTACTTGCCTCGCTAGTAGCTTAGGCTATGGTATAATAGAATATTCATTCTGGTTCCATGTTTAAGTGGAGGCTGGAGAAGATAATAGCATAGTAACATCCTCTCCCCCACCTCACTCCACAAGTACACACACACTTCTTTTCCAGGAGATACATCTTAGAACACAACACAACTAACAAATTTTGTTAAAGTAGCTTCCCAGGGTATATAATGTAGACAAGGCAAAATGTAGCTTGGGTTCCCCCCTCCCTTCGCCCCTCTAGGAATCAGACCTGTTGTAGGGAGATGCTGTCATAAACATATTTAATTCTGTGACATGGCATTAAAAGTCATCTGCTCCTTTCTAGAACAGCTCTGGTCCTTCTGTCAGCACCAAGCTTATTAACTTGTTCTCAAAAAGGCTCCTCTGTGCCTTCCTACCTGCACAGCTGACTCCTTATTCATTTTGTTCATGAAAAATAAGTGGCTGCCCATTTCCAGGACTGAATTGAAGGGTCATCTTTTATTAACAAAATCCCAAGGCCGTCAACTAGGCCATTGGAGTAAACAGTTGGAGAATCAGAAGCAAACTTGTCAAGATTATAGGCTTTATAGTGGATAGAAAGGAGTAATATTTGTTATGTGAATAAATAATTCTTTTCTAAGCATAAAGGAAATGTAGAAAGACCTGAATGCATAAAAATAAGTAATCTGTTTTGAAAGACATTAAACCAAATTAAATGTCAAACCATTAGGGAATTTAAACAACATATGACATGGGGCTATCATCTCTTATATACAAGAAGCATTGGAAAATCAGTGTCAGAAAGGTAAACACTTCAATGGAAAAAATGGGCTAAGAAGGCAAACAGGCATTGACTAAGGAGGAAATATAAACTATAATAAAAGTGGTTAGTTTCAGTGTCACATGTATTTGAAAACGCAAATAACAACATGTCATTTTCAATTTGATCAAGATAATATCTATTGTTAGTGAAGGTATAGGAAATTGGGCACACTTTTGTTCTCCTGGTGGGAGCATAAGATTTAATCATTCTTAAGGTAAATTTGACATTGTATTTCAACAAACCTGAAACATGCTAGGTAGTTGAGACGATTTCTCTTGGTAAGAATTTACCCCAAAGAAATTATCAGAGATGAGCACAAAAATTGTGTAAATATAGTTTAAATATTGATCCAAGATTCATAAGTGCAGAAATTTAGAAACATCTGAAATGTCACAAAGAATAATTGGGGTAAATACACAAATGTAGTTTGATCAAAAATGGAGTGTGATATGTTAAAAGTTTTATTTGGAGAATTATTTAAAGACATTGAGAAATATTCATACAAATAAGCAGGAAAAAAGCAGATTGTAAACCAGAATATACAGTATTATACAGGTTTGTTTTAAAATAAGTTTGTGTGTGTGTGTGTGTGTGTGTGTGTGTGTGTGTGTTACACATCAAAATATTAAACAGTGGGATTGCAATTCTTACTATCTTCACATTTCTCTGTCATAGTAACAAATAATAAATAAGCTTACAATAATGAATATTTTTACATTTATAATTAAGAAAAAAGTAAAGGGGAAAATAGATTCCCTTTAGACACCCAGGTGTTGGTTTTCCACCTATCACTAACTATTCTTTCAGTAGGTTCCTCTTGAGGCACTTCCTAAATGAAGTAAAGTCCTTAGGCATAGTTCTTAATATCTCTATTCTTATCCTTCAGTTTCTGTCCCTGAAACCTCTTCTACTTTCACATTGTTTATAACATCTGGATGAACATCTCTCAAGGGATGATTTTGTTGTGCCGGACTGTCTTTGCAATGTCCTCTGTCTGGTTGCTAAGACTTTAGATTGACCAATTCCTAGTGATATGTGAAATCTTGCACCTCACCCTCTTTTCCCAAATTTGCTCCTACCTCTCATTTTTAAATTATCTGTTAATGCTAGTATTATGATTATGATTATGATTTATTTATTTGTTTTTTGAGACCAAGTCTCACTCTGTTGCCCAGGCTGGAATGTGGAGGCATGATCTTGGCTCACTGCAACCTCCACCTCTTGGGTCCAAGCAATTCTTGTGCCTCAGCCTCCCGAGTAGCTGGGACTACAGGTGTGCATTACCATGCCCAGCAAATTTTTGTATTTTTAGTGGAGACAGGGTTTCACTATGTTGGCCAGGCTGGTCTTGAACTCCTGACCTCAAGTGATCCTCCCATCTTGGCCTCCCAAATTGCTGGGATTATAGGCATGAGCTCCGCCCAGCCTAGTAGTAGTATTTTTTTGTATCAAATTTATCTTTGGCTTTTTCCTTGCTTCTCACACCCACATCATTCAGCTTCTCTTTCTTGCTGGGGTGCACCAGACACCTTCACCATTATCAGATAAGAGATCTTTTTATATTCACATGTACTTAGGCTACCACTTAATTACTATATGCTGCACTGTCTTCATGTTAATCTTGAATGTTGCTTGTTTCTTGTCAGCCTCCTTCTTAAGTTTTTGCACTGCCTATATGATGAAATCTACACTCATTTTATTTTTTTCTGCCTTAACTCTCATTTCTGTCTCCTCCAAACAAAACCTTTAGTCACAAACCTTTTGTCCTACCTAAGCATAGCTTCTCTTTTCCTGACTCTATCACATCACTCAAACTCTTCTCATTTTATCTGTTCCTCATTCTTCAAAATCAAGCTTAAATCTTTTCTCCTTGGGAAAATATCCAACAAATATCACCTGATGCCTTTCCCTGTCTTTTGAATTGAGATAGCATTACAATAAGCTATCTGCAGAACCATATGGTTTTCTTATTAAATTAATCTGGTTTCTTTAGGTCCCTTTTTGCCAGGTAAACAAGTTTACACCTGTTGTTCTGGCCTAATTATTACTAGTGCTCTCTTTCAGTTTTAAAATTATCTCATTTCGATTGATGAATCCTAGTGTTACTCTACTTATCCAGTACAAAATATATAGTACCAGTTGCTAGTGGATTTATAAGCAAGTGTTTGCTAGTGAGTCATATGGTGAGCTTAAATACTAAAGAGATCTATTTTAACTAAAAGAATGTCTTTCTATATCTTGTACTGTAAAGAAATTAAACTGTCATATTCCTTAATACTGTATGCTCTGGATGACGTTTCACAGCAGCTTTGGTGTATCAAATTTCAGTAGTCCGCATTGGAGGCTATGAAAACACCTATAAGTGGCAAGCAGCAAGAGTCATTTCTCTTTCATCCTTTCTTTGCTTCTCATTCCCCTTTTTGGAGGGGGGCAAGTGGGATGAGACTGTGCATGGCAAATACATTTCTGAAGAAATGACTTAATACTTTTGTGTTGGGGTACCCAAGACCACCCCCAGCTTTGGTAATTTGCTTGGAGAACTCACAGGACTCAGCATATAGTCATACTCGTGGCTATGATTTATTACAGTAAAAGGAAATAAAAAAGGGTACAGGGGACAAATTCTGGGGGAAACCAGGTGCAACCTTCTAAGAGTGCTCTCCCAGTGGAGACACTCAGAGCATGCTCAATTCCCCCCTGCAAGGAGCTGTGGCATGTGAAATGTTGTCCACCAAGGAAGTTCATTAGAGACTTGTTGTCTAGAGACTTATTGGAGGCTGGTCACATAGCACTCGCTTCCTGGCACGTACCCAAATTCCAAACTCCCAGAGGGAAAGGAGATATTTGCATAAACCGTATTGTTTGTACAAACAGTTTAGGTGCAGTAAGCCACCTCTTAGCAGTTAGAGTGATGTGAACCCTCCCTAAACTAACATTCCCAGACACCAGCCAAGGGCCAACCTTGTAAGCAAACCTTTCAAAACACAGCAGTCAGGCCTGCTGTGCTAAATCTTTTCTGCATAGTTCCATTGACTAGAAAAAAAAACATTTTAGACTCTAAAGGGCTCAACATTCTAGTTTGTTCCCATGTGCTAGGCAACACAATCAGTGATGTTATGTATTTTTTCTTTTTTAAAAAAAATGGAGACAGCATCTCACTAGATTGCCCAGGCTGGTCTTGAACTCCTGAGCTCAAGCAGTCCTCCCACGTTGGCCTCTCAAAGTGCTGGGATTACAGATGTGAGCCACCATATCCAGCCTGACATTATCTTTTAAAGTAAATAAAATTTTCAAAATAACTTGTGGAATAGAATAGTGTCCCTAAAACTGAAAATATTCTTGCAGCCCTTTCACCCAGTAGTGTGCTAAGACTCACTCCAGAGAGCCCTTTTCCTGCGTCTCTTTCCAGCTTCCACATTCTGTGATGTTGAGTTTGTGTTTTGAAACTGCCCATTTTGGTGATATTTGTACCACAGAAACCACAAATACTGCAAATCAGGCTTTTCTCCCAAGACAGCCAGTTGTTAAACATTTATTAACACCTATCCCTCATTACTAAATTAATTAATTCTTATGTATATAGTGTGTTCCAATAAGCGATGGTAAGAAGAAAAGAAACATGATTTGTGTGGAATACTGATGTTCTTTTTTGCACCTCTATCTTTCATAAATGATGTCTGGGAGCTGAAAAGTTTTGGGTTCAAATCTCCTACCTGATTTATACTTTCTTCACATTTATTAGCTTAAAAATTTAGAATACTCAACTTTAAACGTCTCTAGTGAGTTGCTGGTAATATTGGATTATTTGTAATTACCTAATTAAATGCATGATAAGTATAGATAATTACAGCTGATTCTTGAACAACATGGGGGTTAGGTGCACCTACTCCCTGCATAGTTGAAAGTACATGTATAATTTTTTACTCTTCCAAAACTTAATTACTAATAGAGTCTGTTAACTGGAAGTCTTACCAATAAAATCTTTTTTTTTCAAAAATTTTGTTTGTGAAACCACCATTATAAATGGCTTCAAGTTTTCTATCCCCAAATTGGTGTCAACGGATACTTAGTACTCCAGAAAGCCCCTTCTTTCCATCTGCTTTTGTAATACCCAACTGGCGACAAGGAAGGTAGAGGTGGGCAAGAAAAGTAAGTCATGTCTCTCTGCTAAGCTAAAGTCACTTTTTAAAGAGTGCATCTGAGGGCAATAGGCAGAGAAGAGGGAAGAGAGAGGCATTGTCTAAAAGAAAATTAAATCACCTCAGTAATACTCTCTCATACTTTGTCAATAGAACCTTACTGCAATCAGATATAATAAAAGTGCATGGCATTGACAAAGCATGATTCATCAGTTTAGAGCCATTGAATTTTTATTTGTCTGTTTATTTGTTTGACTCTGCTACCAGTATTACCTAAGATCTTACCTAATGAGGTGGCTCTCCTGCTTAATATTCTTAGATGCTTCTCCCACCATTAAAATCCTAATTTGTTATGCAGCATCCAAGATACTTTATAGTATGATGCTATCCTCACTTCTCCCTCTTCTTCTCCGTGTGTTCATACTGCAGTCAAATCTGTCTCCTTCGTGCCTCTACTTTTTCAGGAAAACGGCCCCTGCTTTTTTTATATTTTTGGCAATGCAGTCAGTTGTTTGTCTTAAGATTCAACTCAAATACCACCATTTTGTCCCATAATTTTGAATTTTATCCATCTTTCTATGATCCAGTGATTTTTCATTTACATTTATATACCCCTCTTGTAATATATATATACATATATATATATATATATATATATATATATATTTTTTTTTTTTTTTTTTTTTTTTTTTTACTGCAATGGGTATTGTGTACTTACTCCGTGTGTGTATGTGTCTGTGTGTGTGAGTGTAGCTCCTGCCCCATACACTATAAGCTCCTGTAGGCAAGGACTATAATAAGTGCTGTGTTAAACTTTTTGTAGGAGTTACTTTTTAATAAAGATACCAGAGCAGGAATTGAGTCCCTCTCTATGTAGAACCATCAGTAATCACCCTCTGGTTTTTCTCTTTAGGCAGATACACAAATTGACCGAGAACATCAGAACTTCTATGAAGCATCATTAGAATATGTCTTTAAAATTCAAGAGGTCCAAGAAAAAAAGAAGTTTGAATTTGTTGAACCGGTAAGTTTCAGATTTTTGTATAAATGGTGGGCTCAAAACAATCTATGGAAAAAAAGTACACTGTTTTTTCTATAATATATAATTTTTCTTGAAAATTATGATTGATAAAAATAAAAGGGGAGTGGGAAGGGATGAAAAAGTGGAGCACAGGGAACTTGTAGGACAGTGAAATTCTTTTGTACAATAGAGTAGTGATGGGTGAGAATACCGTTATATGTTTGTCAAAACCCATAGAATGTGTAGCACAAAAACTGAGCCCTAATGTATACTATGGATTCAGTTAATATTAATGTATTAGCATTGTTTCATCGACTATAACAAATGTACCACAGAAATGCAAGATGCTAATAAGAGAGGAAGCTGTTGGCGGGAGGGGGGTGCAGAGGTGGTGGGGGACAGGTGAGCTGAGAGGGCATAAGGGAACTTCATTCTTTCCACTCATTTTTTGGCAAACCTAAAACTGCTCCAAAAATAAAGTGTATTAATTAAAGAAATTTTTTAAAAAGAGGATGTGCATTATCTATAGATGAATGAATACACTTCACCAGTACAGTGACCCATTTAGCAAATGTTTAGACGGAGAGGGAAAACCAACGGCTCTGTTTTCCCCTTTGTTCTGTGCTCCCCTTCCTCACAGGGCTCGGATCTGCTTGACTTTCCTATGAAGTCATTTATTTTCCTAAGTCAGTGTAAAATGTAATGGATTTCCTAATGTAAACCGCGTTACAGAAAAGAACAGGTGGCTGGTCTTTATAAGCTTATTTCATTTTTTAGCATTTTTTTCAAGTGATACCCTAATGTGTTCCAATATTGCCTAAATAGGCATCTTGACAAAGTGACATGTATGATGAATAAAGGTTTGCTCTAGAGTCAGGTGATCTGTTGTCTGCATTCTTCAATTCCCATGAGATCAGAGGATAGGGTTAATAAATGTGTAAGTAATCAAATATCTAATCTAAGCCATTCTTTTCTTCCTATGTAAGTCCTTTAAAAAATCCATTCATAATAAAAAATAAAATACTCTGTTTCTATATTAGTGGATATGATAAGGAGAGGGAAAGGAAGGCAACATTATAAAATACATTTCACATAAATCATTTTCTAATGGAAATCCACCAGCTATCCCCTAAAGATAATGGAAAACTGAGACAGAGCAGAGGTTGGGGACTGTTATCAGGCCCAACCTGGCTTCCAGGACCTCTTCCTTTATTTGGAGCCTACTGACTCTCTCCTGTAAACTAGGCAGTAGGCACATTTGCAAGACCAGCTTCCAGCTAGAAAGATTAAGGAACTGAAGACCACCACTCAGGCTCAGGGATTTAACTTTTACGTTTTATTTAGAATAACAAACTGAAGTTCAAGTTCTGTTTACCAAACAGCTTAATCCTTAAATCCCCTAGCATTATCCTCTTATATAGTGGACCCTTTAAGGATCTGATTAAACTTTATATGACCTAGAGAATGTTCTGAAGCTCATCTGGGGCTCATGGACAACTAGCCAGCCTAACATTTCCTATTCTAGGAAGATGACCACTACTTATGGTTCCTGTTCACCTTCCCATTGACTAAGTCCCACCCCAGAATCCCACCATGGTTTTTGAAGCCTCGCTTCTTGCTAGCAAACTACTTCCCTAGGGCCTGCACCTTGGGATTTTTGAATTTCAGCTCTTCTTGACACCAAACCATCTGAGACTCCATTAATTCTGACAGTTTTTCTGCATATTCCTTCCTTGTATCTTCCCATTTCCTTCAGACACTGTGCTGATCTGCTGTGCTGTTGTTTCTTCTCACACCTGGAATAATCCTTTCACATCTGTATCCCTTTATTCCTCTTGGAAGATGATATGGGAGTCACTTGTTTCCCTAAGTCTCTTTTATAGCCCATCCTATCTGGGAATAGTGAACTAGAACATTCTGTAAGATGACATCAGATGTATACAGAGGAGATTGTAAAAAAATGTTCGTTCACAGGTGGCAGAAGGAATGACAAGAATTTATGAATTCCTGTAAAAATACAGTAGAGAAGTAGAAGCCACCTTTCAATTGAAATGTGTTTTCTTCCTTTTACCTTATCCGAAGCTATGATGTCCTGTTAAGTCTTCTGTCATGCATGCCTTTCTTATGACACCACAGTCAAAATTGATGTTATATTTGTTCTTCTTCCAAAATATTTTCCCAGCTGCTGTGTTTTTCCTAGTAGAGCATCTGGCCAAACCAAATAGTACTGTCAGTTTGGTCTCATCCTCATTTCTAGCCTCAGAGTCTCATCCATGGAGTTGTACTTAATATCCATTTGAACAATGAGAATAGAAATGGGATCAATGAAGCATGAGTATGTATGTCAATCTTTAGGTTATGCATTTACAAATTAATTTGGAGGAGAAAAGTAGTAAACCAAAGCTCCCAGGAGCTATAAACATAAAAAGACATGAAAACACTTTAATGTTTTTGCCGGTTTTATTCTTTAGAAATCCAATTCTTGTTTGCATTGCTGTTGCATGTTGCAGAAATCTAGTAGTCTATTCTAGTTTTAGCCCAGATTATTTTAACAAATAAGCATTAGAGTAAAGCAAATGGCCTGGGGATGGGATCTATCTTCTACAGATTGTAAGATATCCAAAAGAAAATATGAACAGGGGATAGTGATTCATGAAATAATATTCTTACCTTATGATGGTATTTTTTAGATTATTTTACATTGTTTTAATCAATATCAAGATCTTACTGCTTGTCATAAAACTTCTATACAGTATTCATGTGCTATTAAGAATAAATATTCTGGCTGGGCACAGTGGCTCATGCCTGTAATCCCAGCACTTTGGGAGGCCGAGGCGGGTGGATCGCTTGAGGTCAGGAGTTCGAGACCAGCCTGACCTATATGGTGAAACCCCGTCTCTACTAAAAATACAAAAATTAGCTGGGCATGGGGGTGTGTGCCTGTCATCTAAGCTACTCGGGAAGCTGAGGCACGAGAATTGTTTGAACCTGGGAGATGGAGGTTGCAGTGATCCGAAATCGCGCCGCTGGACTCCAGCCTGGGCAACAGAGTAACACTCTGTCTCAATAAATAAATAAGGAAATAAATAAATAAATAATCCTACACTGTCATTATTCTAAAGAAAAACTAGGTCTGACACATGAACTAAAAGGGGACATTCATGTATTATTTATAAATAAGCTACGTGTTATTGTTTTAAAAGCATACCTGAAATCAATTTTTTTGTTTGTGTTTGGTGTTTTTGAGATGGAGTGTCGCCCTGTTGCCCAGGCTGGAGTGCAGTGGCATAATCTCAGCTCACTGCAACCTCCACCTGCCAGGTTTAAGTGATTCTCCTGCCTCAGCCTCCTGAGCGAGTAGCTGAAATTACAGGTGTGCACCACCACACCTGGCTAATTTTTATATTTTTAGTAGAGACAGGGTTTCACCATGTTGGCCAGGCTGTTCTCGAACTCCTGACCTCAGGTGATCCACCTGTTTTGGCCTCTCAAAGTGCTGGGATTACAGGCGTGAGCCACCACACCTGGCCTGAAATCAGCTTTTTAAACTCAGTTCTCTATAAGCCATCTTTTTTCCAGTTTATTATATTTTATATAGAAAGGGATTATAGCTCACTGTTGATTTCTAGACCCACCATTCTGTATGGTAGCAATTACCCACAGCTAGTCTAAGTTAGGATGTGCTGTAAATATAAAATCAACAGCAGCCTGCAGAATCTTAGTATGAAAAAATGGGCAATAGCTCATTAATACCTCTGATTACAGGTTGAAATGCTATTTTGGATATATTGTATTAAAATAAATTATTCAAATTTATTTCACTGTTTTTTTAAAGTATTTAAAATATGTTTACTAGCCGGGCACAGTAGCTCACGCCTGTAATCCCAGCACTTTGGGAGGCTGAGGCAGGCAAATCACTTGAGACCAGGAGTTCAAGACCAGCTTGGCCAACATGGTGAAACCTCATCTCTACTAAAAATACAAAAATTAGCCAGGCGTGGTGGTGGGTGCCTGTAATCCCAGCTACTGGGGAGGCTGAGGCACGAGAATCACTTGAACCCTGGAGGCAGAGGTTGCAGTGATACAAAATCATGGCACTGCTCTCCGGCCTAGGTGGCAGAGTGAGACTCTGTCTCAAAAAAATAAATAAAAATTAAATATATTTACTAGTAAATTACACATTGGCTTGCATTTGTGGCTCATATTATGTGTCTCTTGAACAGTGGGCTCATCCTTTCAGATGTGTCAACAAGGTACGCAAGTGTAGGTCTATGATGGGGGAAAGAGATCAGGGAGGGAGAAACATCTCCTGACTCTTGGTTATAATATTCACCTACTGCTCAGAGCTGCCCGAAGTTATGAGAATGTTTATGGATTAGAAGAAGCAGTTCTAGAAGTACTCTGAACACAAACAGCTTAAATAAGAGTTGTGGAGGAGCCCAGGGGTCTCAGAAGAATTTCATGGTACATAAAGGTTTGTGGCTTAGAAAACGGAATCTTGTTATGACTCATCTGCCTTATGATTCATTCAGCTGTAAACTTGTGTGTGTGTTGATTTATGTCCTTTGAGCCTACTTAGTTGGACTGATGTTTTGTGAGCAACTACTATGTGCTATGTGTTTTCTCTGTGTTAGCTCACGTAAATCCATAACAGCATTATTATGAAGTAGTTGTTAGATGAAGAAGCTAAGTTACAGAAAGATTGTTGGTTGCCTAAGGCCACAAACCTAAAGTGGCAGATAGGAACTCAGAACCCAAATCTGAAGTCATGGCATAGTACCACTTCCTCAGTGGACACTTAACTACAGAGATTAATCCTTCCTGATAATATTTGCTCTGGCCAAATAAAATGGACGATTAGAAAATTATATAGTGTAGTTATATTAATTCCTTAAAATTAGAAGAAAATAAGAGGTTTACCTTTGGTAAGCAGAGACAGAAAGTATAATAGCTTAACGAGTTGGAATAAGATGGAATTTGGCTCCACATCTTACAGCTGTGCAAATATGGCACACTTTACAAATGCTCTGCCTCAGGTTTTTATCTGTATGTTGAAGACAAAAATAATGTGTAGTTCCCAGGATCACGGTGAGGATCAACCAACACAGGTAATGCACAAAGCTCTTGTACCTGGTACTTCATTAGCGTCAATAAGGCACCAGCCAGTGTGTACCTCACCTGTACTATGATTGCTAGATATGAAAACAACATTTATGAATCCCTTTGTTAGTTGTGGCTTTAAAGCCCTGTGTGGCTTTTTTAAAAACACATTTTAATTTTAGCCTTCTAAATATACACCTAGAGTAAGTTTTGTAATAGCATTTTCATGTTACAGTATTCCTTTTAGAGTCCATTATAGTCTTTCTGTATTAATGTTTAAAGTTAATGCAGAAAATGAAAATAAATCATCATATATAAGCTAAAATATAGTGCTTTTGATGCTCTTCCCTTGGACTGCTAAATTCAATTTAAATTTTTTCGCTGAAGAAAATTTGCCTAATTTGCTAACATGTTATAGCTTGTTATTATCAAGACGTATACTATAAAATACTTTTCAGAGTCTCTAAATTTAAAAAGCTTAAATAATTTTGAGATTGAAATGCTACTGGCTAAGTCTTTTTTAAAAGTCCATCAGCTAGTATATAGATGAGCAGCTTTTGAAAGTTTAACATTTTGATGTGTTTTTCTTTTTCAACGTAATCAGTTAGCTTTAATTTAGTAAAAGTGAAAAAAATAAGGTTAGCATCATTGTTTTTCGAAACTCTGTAGGACTAAAGGTTAAATTTCTATCCTGTTTAAAATCTAAGGGCATTCATTCTTTAAAAATTTAACAACAAAACTTTTAAGTAAAAATAAAATCTGTAATGGTCCTTGGATAAATCTAAAGTTCAGGGTATTGTTATTGAAAATTAGAAATTTGTGATAGAACTTAGTGAACAGAATTTTGTAAAAGTAAGAAAACTGCATCCTATGTGTTTGGTAGAAATCAATCATGTAGCTTCTGCTGGGCTTTATCAGCTTGCTGGTGACAGTACTTTCTCTATTACAATTGAGCTGTAAAGATAAGCTGGCTATTGTCAATGCCTCTGTTCCTTTACCAGGAAAGTGTACCTCAGGCCTCTTCATCTGAATTCCATCCTCTTGAATGCTTACAAATCCATCTTTTCAGGAATTCCAATGACGCTTTTCAGTGCTGAGGCGATGCATGGCCACGGCTTTGTTTTATTAATCAGTGCACGTAATTGTCCATTCATTCATTTGTGCTTCTGTCCTCCCATTTTAAAAGTAGTCTTTTCCAGGCCAGCATTGACTGGCCACTTTCCATTCTTGGCTCTCTTTTTATCTTCAAGTTTCTCATTATTTATTTGATTCGATTTATATATGCTTTCGTTTTCATGCCATGAACTCCTTTGCACATCTATGCATTAGACTTAAAGCAATCTGTAGTCATTTTGAAGGTATCCTTTAAGATGTTTATCTCTAAGTTTCCTCCAGGCAGGGAATTGCAAAGACTACAGATTTAACTCACAGGCCTGACACTTTTACAGTGTGAAAATTGATGCCTTGACTTTGCCCTACTTTTCTAATCTTCTTAGAAGTTTAGATGGCCAAATATGAAGGATGGAACTATATAACATTTTGATTTCTTATAGTGCCTTATGGTGCTTTGTGTTTGGGAAGTATTTATTTTTATTTTTTAAAAACAACTTCAGGCCAGGCATGGTTGCTCACACCTGTAATCCCAGCAAGTTGAGAGGCCGAGGCGGGAGGATTGTTTGAGCCCAGGAGTTCAAAACCAGTCTTTGCAACATGGCAAAACCCCACCTCTACAAAAATTAGTTGGGCATGGTGTCATGCGCCTGTAGTCTTAGCTACTTGGGGGCTGAGGTGGGAGGATCACTTGAGCCTGGGAAGTCAAAACTGCAGTGAACTCTAATCATGCCACTATCCTCCAGCCTGGGTGAAAGGGTGAGACCTTGTCTCAAAAAAGAAAAAAAAAAGTCATAAAGATACAATTCACATACCATACAGACAACTCATTTAAACTATACAATTCAATGGAACTTTAGTATATTCACAGATCTGTGCAACGATCACCACAAAAAAATTTAAAGCATTTTCATCACCTTAAAAATAAACATCACATCCTTTAGGTATCATTCCCAGTATACCCCACAACCATTAATACTGAAACACCACTAATTATTTTCTGTCTCTATTAATTTGCCTACTCTGGGCCTTTCATACAAATGAAATTGTGTAATACGTGGCCCCTTTGGTGATTGACTTCTTTTACTCAGATGCGGTTTTCGAGGTTCATCCATCTGAAAGCATGCATCAATACTTCATTTCCCTTTAGGGCCAAATAACATTTTATTGTATGGATAGACCACATTTTGCTTATCCAAATATTAGTTGATAGGTACCTTTTCACTATTATGAATAATGTTATAAACCAGCGGTCCCCAACCTTTTTGGCACCAGAGACCAGTTTTATGGAAGACTATTTTTCCATGAAAAAATTGGTGAGGAGGGAAGGGTTTCAGGATGAACCTGTTCCACTTCAGATCATCAGGCATTAGTTAGATTCTCATAAGGAGCAGGCAACCTAGATCCCTCGCAGGCACAGTTCACAATAGGCCTCACTCTCCTATGAGAATCTAATGCCAGCACTGATCTGATAGGAGGCAGAGCTCACCCAGGTCTCACCTCCTGCCATGCAGTTGGGTTCCTAACCGGCCACAAATGACCTTTACTGGCCTGCAGCCCAGGGATTGGGGACCCCTATTATAAACGTTCATGTACAAATTTTTGTGTAGATACATGTTTTTCTCTCTCTTGAGGAATTACTGAGTCATGTGGTAACTGTATGTTTCACCATCTGACGAACTACCAAAATATCTGCACCCCTTGACACTCCCACCAGTGATATATGAGGGATACAGTTTCTCCATGTCCCTCACACACACTTGCTATTATCTCACTTTTTGAGTCTAGCTATCCTAGAGAGCTGAACTTAGATTTCACTGTGGTTTTGATTTCGATTTCTCTGATGACTAATAAGAATCTTTCAAATGCTTTTTGACCATTCATATATTTTCTTTCAAGAAATGCCTATTCAATTTCTTTGCCTATTTTTAAACTAGGTTATTTGTCTTTTTATTATTTAATTATGAGTTGTTTATATATTCTGCATACAAGCCCCTTATGGGATAAATGATTTTTGTAAATATATTCTCCCATTCTGTGAGTTTTCTTTCAATTTTCATGACAGTGTACATGAAGCACGAGTTTTTAATTTTGAATATTTGTTCCTTTTCTGTCTTGTAATGGGGTTATTTTAAAAGATTATTTATCTGTTAAGTATGGTATCAGTTTTTCCAACTGGTTGGGTTATTGGAGCGACAAGTAATTTGGTTCTATACCCTTGGGAATAATAAAGTGCTATATGAGATTTCGTCAGTGATAAAAGGAACTTTCTTAGTATTCAAACCTATTCCGTCTATCTAGAAGTTTGTAGTTGTTATTACGGTTACTGTTATTATTTTAAAGGTCAAATTTACTTTAGGGTAAACTGAAACCATAGTTTTTCCCTCACATCCCAGCCATTCAGGCAGATTCACCAAAGAAAATGATATGTGGGAAGTGCAATTCTTAAAGCTTTTCAGGCTGTCCTGTTCAGTTCCTTTCATTTCACATCTTGGAATTTTGTAGAGGATGAAATGAACAAGTATATGTTCAAACCGATAAAAACGTTTAACTTTGCTGCCATCTAGAGGCAGGTATTTCATAATGCAATCTTCAATAAACCCAAATGCTGCTTCCAAAGATGTGGAATAAAAAGGAAAAGGTGTATGATTTTTTTGTATATAATTCTTATGTGCCTTCCATAGGATTGTACATTTCCTAGTGGGTGCTCAGCATGCGTTGTGAGATTAAAAGGTATTTGTCTGCTACTAAGTGAATCTGAATTCTGCTAGAAGCTGCCAATGGGTTTATTTTCCTCTTGACTGAAGTTGGCTGCATATAAAATGCTGAGGATATAGAATAATATGAATAAGATGAAGGTACCAGGATCTTATTTTTTAGAACATGATTAAGAATTTAAAAGCAGAGTTTAGTGGGAAATATTGGTTTACCAAAATCTGTGTCAAAATACGTCCGTAAGAGTTTTGGTTAGGACGACCCACATGTGGTTCAGTGAATCTGCAAGCATGAAGTGGCCCTTCACATGAGGGAGTGTCTCACAGGTAGTTCCATGAAGCGCACCCAGCATCTTCTCCAGATGTCTAATCTTTTGAAATAGAATACACATTGACATTCCTTATCCAAAATGCTTAGGACTAGAAGTGTTTCCGATTTTTTTCATATTTTGGGATATTTGCGTAGACATAATGAGATACCTTGGGAATTGGATCCAAGTCTAAACATGAAAGTCATTATGTTTCCTATACACCTCATACACATAGCTTGAAGATAATTTTATTTTATACAATATTCTTAATAATTTTGTGCATGAAGCACAGTTTGTATATATTGAACCACCAGAAAGCAAAAGTATCAGGTGCGGAATTTTTTCACTTGTGGTATCGTGACAGTGCTCTAAAAATTTTGCATTTTGGAGTGCTTTGGATTTCATGTTTTCAGATTAGTATTAGTACTTTAGGACTGGAGCATCAAGCCATGGCATAGCAATTTGAATGTACTGGAAACTTATGTGGCTGAAGAATCATAATTGACCATTTGTTAGAAGTTTTAGCAATGTTCTAGGTGTAGTTCTGAATGGTTTACTTCATGCTTCTGAAAATATCAGTGTGTTTTGTCTTTTTTCCATGTTCTAGAAACCAAGAATATTAGAAAAGTTGGATCTCAGGGGATTCGTTGTTTTATAGAAAGATTTATCACAGATATTCTTAAAATCTTCTTTACAAGTTTAATTAACTTTTATACTGATGATGATTTCAAAGTAGCACCTGCTTTGTATAGCATCCAGTTTGTAATGAGACAGTTTAATTGTGGATTAATTATAAATGGTAAAACATGAAACAATACTTCCTTAGCAACTTCATAATCTGTTAGTTGGATGTTCAGAAGACTACTGTTTTATATATTTCAAAAATGTTTTCTTTTCTCTCTGAAAGGCTCTAAATCTAAACATGCAAACCTTTATTAAAGGTATTTTTGATCCAATTTAAGCTGCAGTTTTGTTTGTGCCATAGTATATGCATTCAGGTAGACTATATATTTTATTGGATAATTTGACAAATATAGCATCATTTTAAGATAATCTTGAATATTTAGGTTTGATAATAAGTATTAGTTGATGTAAAACTGACAGTGTAAAATAATTATAAAAGGGCAAATGCTACATTTTGGTATAATATCAGGACTGTTTGAACAAGAGAAGAAAGGTCCTTAAAATATAACAACAAAAATGGTTTGAAAATGTTTTCTGAAATGAATATGACTTTGTATTAACTTGACTTGTTTGTAGGAAGAAAAGCATGAGGTCATTGTTTTCAGATAGAACCAGTGTTTATCTGTTGGAAATCATAGCACATGTAACCAGTTGATGCTTAGCTGAATCCTCCCTACCTACCCAGACAGAGAAGGTGGCTGCGTGTTATTTACATGAGAAAATGGTTTCAAATTGTGTTTCTTCCTTAATTTAAAATAATAAGTTACAGATACATTATGAGTGACTTTTCAAAAATGTTTTCTAACTTTATTGCAGGAAGAGGTTGTGGGAAAGATTAGGTTAGGAGACAAGTCTGTGAAATAAAATCCCTGTGAATGAAATGAAAATGCTTAAATTTTTTTTCCAATATAACGTTCCATATAACCTGTGTCCTGTAATTCCATGGAGAGCCTGTCTTAATTTATGGATAAAAACATAAATACACATATGAATTTGAGATTAGAAGGTTAAGATCATAGAAATTATGACTTTGTAAAGATTTCACTTTCTCTGAAATGAAAAACCTGTGTTATCTAGTTCAATGATTTTGCTCACCACTTCCCTGTTTTATGTTCTTTCCATTCCTTTGCTAAAATGTTGTCTATTCAATACTCAAATCAGTACTGCCACCTTGTGATACTTTTTCTTAATTTCATCTGGCCAAATTCTCATTCCTTCCCTTGGGTACTTCTTATCTGTGATTTACTGGTTTGGTCTTCCTTACGTTGCACATCTTTTATCCCCTTGTTTTGATTAGAAGTTCTTCCAGGGTGGGATCTATGCTATTATACTTTAGTCGTTATCTTAGTGGTCTCTTCTGGATATTTCTTCAATGCATTTGAATAGCAGAATAGTTAACATGACAAATGTCCTTGATCAGCCTCAAAAGTTAAATTACTGTCTACCAAAAAGGAAATAAAAATCCTTTTGTGGTTTCTGTTTTATAATCGTAAATCTATTGCCTGCCTTGCCAAAGCCATTGAAAATGTATTAGTTTGAGGAATTATAATGAAATATAATTTTCTCCCTATTTTATATCATTAAATGATCATTAAAACACATTTTCATGGTTTCTTTATCTCTTTATCTTTGCAGCTTTTGTCATTTCTTCAGGGCTTATTTACTTTTTACCATGAGGGATATGAACTTGCCCAGGAATTTGCACCGTATAAGCAACAGCTGCAGTTCAACTTGCAGAATGTAAGAGTATACCTGTTCTTACTGTCTCTCAGCAAATCTGCAAATCTGATTTCACAGGGCAACTAATTACAATTTTTTTCTAGCTGCTAGTGGAAAATACAACCCACAAAACCCTAATCTTAGTTAGAAAAATTTATACTAGCAAATTTTATAAAAATAAATATTACCCAGTTGGAGACACCTGAAAGTTTATTAACTTTTGCCTTCATCCAGTGTTCTTGTTAATTTACTGGGTGATGCAGGATGAGTAAGTTTGGAGAGCTAATTTGCAGTATGGTGGCTCTAGGTAATAACACTGTATTGAATACTTGAAATTTATTGAGAGTTTAGGTCTTAAATGTTCTCAGCATACACAGATGGTAACTGTGGTGATTGATATATTAATTAACTTGATTGTGGTAATTTCATAATGTATACATGTATTAAAACATAACATTGTACATGTTAACTATACAATTTTTATTTGTCAATTATACCTCAAGAAAACTAGAAAAGAAAATACTGGAAATAAGGAAATAAGACCTTAGAGAAGTCTTTTTTTTTTTAAAGATGGAGCTTCGCTCGTCACCCAGGCTGGAGTGCAATGGCATGATCTCGGCTCACCGCAACCTCCACCTCCTGGGTTCAAGCAATTCTCCTGCCTCAGCTTCCCAAATAGCTGGGATTACAGGCATGCACCACTACACCTGGCTAATTTTGTATTTTTAGTAGAGACGGGGTTTCACCATGTTGGTCAGGCTGGTCTCGAACTCCCGACCTCAGGTGATCCACCCGCCACGGCCTCCCAAGTGCTGGGATTACAGGTGTGACCCACCGTGCCTAGCCTGAGAAGTCTCTTTTTTAAGACAGCAAAATTTCTTTATTTGTGAAATGAAGGATTGTACTTTAATAACAAAGATCTCATCTTTCTCTGAAATTGAATATAAAATATGTGCTGTTTATTATTTTCAAATAACAGGTTTGAATGTGGTTTCGAGGCATTCAAAATAACTGCTTTAAAACATAAGTGAGAGATCCTTTTGTAGTTCATGGGCATGATGTTTGGGTGTTCACGCATGTGTGTGAGACATGCCACCCTCTGAACCTTGTTACAATCTCAGCATATTACCCGTCTAACCTGAAAAAAAAATAAGAAAAAATAAATACAAAATAAAAAATTTTTTAAAAGTGAGAATTATTTCCATACAGGCCACCTATTTCTATCAGAATTTATTTTGTAAAGTTGTCTAATGAATCCTTTTAGTCTCTGATTGCATAGCTATACAAATTCTGATGTTCAAATGCTGAGCAACACTTGCATTGAAATAAAAACACACCCAAAAGTTGAGCCAACCTATTTCACATTATCAAACCTGACAAATAATGATGTCTTAATTGTTGAGGTTTTACTATAACTGAAACCCTGACTGCCAAGTACTATATAGCCCAAATCATTTGGAAAACCTTCACTTAATTTTCTACAAAGTGTATGTTTTTCTGCTTATCTGGTTCTTGCTGTTGTGGAAATGTCCAGTAAATAAAACTACAGAGTTAGAATGTCCCATAAGAAATATGTAAGGGGATTTATTCCCTTGTGTTTTGAGTTTTAGCTTTTATTTGACTTAGATTTTCTAGCAGAATCAATTTCACCTTTAATTCATTCTATTGTTTTTCCATATGGAATGTATTTAGGCTTTTACAGTTACTATTAAAAGCGAAAATTATAAAAGCTGACGTATTTTTATGATTTACTTCCACATTAAATAAAATTACATTAAGATTCCTAGGATTCAGGAACAGGAGAGAAGTAAGGAATTGGAGAAAAAAAAATTAGACCCTTATGTTTGAAAGACAAAAATAGTGAAAGTGACAAGAAAATTTTCCTAATTTTGAGATTTTTTTTTTTTTAAAATGGGGAATAAACTCCTTAGATTTAGGTGGTAGTGATTATTGTATCTTCAGAAACATATTTGTGAGGTAATGCAAAAGAGGTATTCATAGAGAAAAGTCTGATTCTTCCTATAGCTTAAATAAACTTGATTTAAAGTGAGTAATCTATTTCTTGCAACAGAAGAAGTTAGAACTTGGAAACCTATTGATTTTTATGAGTTAATTTATACACTCACCTCTTAATAATACCTTTGCTAGTAAACCAAGCTACGTGATGTTTCTTCAAAAATAGCCTTTGGAACTGTGGTAACAAACTTCTTTTCTTGACTTGTTCTATGCCACATGTATCAAAAGTATATGAATTTATTTTGTTTTTTTCCCTCAAAAGAAACTAAGTCCCTATGTATCTGTTTTTTACCTTAGGTATTTAGGGAATTCAAATTTTATGTAGTGCATCCTATATTTTTTTAATTGCCATAGTTTACCCCCTAAGTAATAATGTTAGAGTGTGAAAATAGGAAGAAGGTCACACACACACACACACACACAGAGAGAGAGAGAGAGAGATTCAAAGAGAAACATGCAGAAGGTCATTCAGACAAGTTTTCACTAAATCAGTTCAACTCAGACCTTGGGACCCAACATCACAAAGACATAGATGTGGTGAATACTGCCAGAAGAATCAAGGTCATCTTTGTGCAATTTGCAGTTTTGAAACATTTTTCTGGGCCGGTCAGGTGGCTCACACCTGTAATCCCAGCACTTTGGGAGGTGAACAAATTGCTTGAGCCCGGGAATTTGAGACCAGCCTGGGAAACATGTAAGACCCCATCTCTACAAAAAATTAGCCAGTGTGGTGGTGTGTGCCTACAGTCCCAGCTGCTTGTGGGGACTGAGGCAGGAGGATCACTTGTGCCCTGGAGGTCAAGGCTGCAGTGAGCCATAATTGCACCTGGTTGACAGAGTGATACTCTGTCTCAAAAATAAATAAAAGCAAAACAAAATATTAGTCTGGATGTTGCTGAAACTTGGTAGAAAATAATGACTGAAATTATTGTTTCTGTTTACTTAAGACAAGGAATAATTTTGAAAGTACTCGACAAGAGGTAGAGCGGTTGATGCAAAGGATGAAATCTGCTAACCAGGACTACAGACCACCCAGCCAGTGGACGATGGAAGGCTATCTGTATGTCCAGGAGAAACGTGAGTCACAAAGACATAATTTCACGTCTCTTATGACTTAGCCACGATCATGAGATGTGACTTGGTTAGTAGTATTTCCTTCAAGTAGGAGGACTGAAATTTCTTATAGCTTTATATCTACTTTCCCCCCACCACAACCAAAGTGAGGACGTTTTTCCGCATTTTGCCATCAGGATATCTAAGTTGGCATATTGTTGAACTTGGGACTTACAGTCTTCACTCATACCATAACATGCGTTCAGTTTTAGCATTTAATTGTGATACTTAATCTCAACTTAAAGTTTCATGGAAAATTGCAAGCCAAAGCCTTTACTGACATGAATCATCCTGGTGACTGTGATAATAGTTTTACCCTCTGGCAGCATTATTTTATTTAATTTTGTGCCCTGTCAGTTTTCAGGCATATAATTGGTAATCATGGTAATGTCAAATTGGCGCTCTTTACTTCCTGAGGTTCGGAAATAAGTACCAAAGCCAATAGAGCACTATTATAATTGCCTCACACTAAGGACATTTTTCTCACAAAAATATTAAAAAGCCATTCGGACTTGTATAACTGGAGTTTTTTGTGCATGTTACTTGTCATTAAGTGGAATTAGTTGGACTATTTTGACTACATTCACGCTTTCAAACCGGATATGCCCTAAGGCATCATTCTCGTGCTGTTTTTGGTGAAGAAACAGTTGTGTGTGAGTTTCCAGCCCATCGTGGACCAATGTGAAAGGCTTTTGATATACTGTATGTGCAACATGATTAAGTGATGCTCATTTGTTGGAGAGCAGGACACACACAAATTTGATTTGATCCAGCAGACTCTGCAAACATTTATTACTGCATGGACTTGATGATAGAGGAACACTGGCTCAAGAGATCTGGGTTTTAGAATGTTTCTCTCTCATAACTACCTACCTTGGCCAGTCTACTGTTTTCATATCTAAACATGATAAAACTAGTGATCTGCCTGGGTACTCTATAGTTAGCGCATAATAAGTAGCTTTTACCCTCCCCCCAGTTCATGAAAAATTACCAATCCCTTGGCTTGTCAGTAGGGTATATAGATTTCACTTAGGACTCTAAGGAAATTTTTATTTTTTTTTTATTGTTATGTTTTTTACACAAGCCTGGAAAGGACTCTAAGGAAATTTTTGAGTATTTAAATGATTTTGTACAGGTTTGAGAGCCTTCATGTGACAGTACATTGAGAGGAGCTCACATTTTCTACCAATAAAATATTTGTCCAACTGGAAGAATTTGTTGCCAGTGAGGGCAGTAAACGTGAAAGTGGTAGAGGAGGTACCATCCTTGGATTTTTTATTCATTATGGTCTGATTATGTTTTATTTCTTGAATACTTTTCTAGGTGTTACACACTTGCTGAAATCTTTGTGGGCACACAATATTTTATTCTAAACAGGAAAGATTTAGATTAGCTTGCAATATTATTTTGTACATAATCTTCAAATATATCATATTCGGTCCTACTTGGTAGTGAGTGCACCCACTGGTTGGAACCATGGTTTGCCTACCTATTGTCAAGCTGTTGGACATTTGGGTCAGTCTATAAGCATAGGCCCTTCAATAATTTGGGGGTTACATGGATGGACTAAGCGCAGTGTTTTATGCGCTTACCTGATGATGGTATCTTTTGTTCTAAGATGCTTAACTTCTCTGGGTCATTCTAGACTGATGATAAAGCCCTTTGTGGTACTGACCTCTTCTCTGATTTTTTTTTTTTTAATCTCTCTTAATGGCACCCCTCACTCTCCTAGGCTACATAAGTCAAGGCAATCCATCCTTAGTACCAGTGTTTCTCTGTAGCCTTGGGACAAACCTGTCTATTCTGTCTTCTTGATATCCTTTGATTCCATACCTTCTCTCCATCTCAACTGCCTTCGCCCAGGTGAGACCCTTGCAGTGACCTCCTAACTGTTCACCCTTTACCTCCAGGCTTGCCCATCATCTAATGCGTCTTCTACAGTGCTTCCCGCAGATCCTTCTAAAATGCTTCTTTGGTTGTGTCCTTGTTTTGATGGACCCTTAGCAGTGTCTGAATTGGAGGGTCTCACAGTTCATTTCTCCTTATTAGCACTCTCTTTGTTGATATTTTTCCTCCCCCAAGACAATTTCCATCTTGATTTGATCTGCATCTGCTGCATTATTTTTATAGCTTTATTGGGTCTAATTGGCATAAATTAATTGCACCTGCTTAAAACATACAGTTTGATAAATTTTGCCACATTCATTCACCTGTGAAGCCATCACCACACTACAACATAATGAACATATTTATCACCTTCAGAAGTTCTTTCTTGCCTCATTATAATCCCTTCCTCCTGTCTGTTCCCACCTATCATCTTCTCCTATTCCCTTTGCCAAGGGATATAAAGAAAAAGGAATATATTTATATGCTTTTGGAATTATTTTATATGAGGAGCAAATATCCAAAGCCCCTTCTAACTTGGGATCTTTGAAAGCGTTTACAATTAAAACAATCTAACCAGTTTACTAAGATGTATCGATTGTGCACTTGCTATCACTGGGTGGATAAGTTCTGTGGGGGACAAAAATGAGATAAATATTTGGCTTCAAGATTTTTATTCTGTAGTTGAAAATGTAAGACACACTTATACAATTAGCAGCCAGTGATCAATATCAAATAAATAAATATCAAAGCCATAAATTGTGTGATAAATGGAGATGGATGTGATGGGGTAGGCTTAGCTCATTGTTTGGACACAGAGTTCCACTCTACCTGAGCATGTGGTGTTTATGTTACCCACCTCGAGGCATGCATTAAATCACATTCTGCTAGACTTCAGTGTAACCGGAAGAGCCAGGGGTTCCAGAGTTAGAGCTATATTGGGATTCCATGCCTGTGCTGACCTGTGACTTGTGCCAATAGTTTTCTGAGCTCAGTCTTGCCTTATTTATAAAAGAGAGGGATTTAAACCCATGTCATAATGATATTGCAAGAATTAGAGATGTCATATGTAAAATGTCTCTATTCTCGGTAGTGTCAATAAGAATAATACTATGCTTACTATTGGGTTCTTACTATTCTTTGTAATTTATATTTATCTCATTTAATTCTAAAATAGCTTGAAAATATCATTTCTCTAAAAAGAACAACTTCAGTCACATGCCCTATTGATGAAAGTATTGCCATCTGTAGGTCACAGGCTCAGTTTTCTTAAAATGTTCTTTATAATGTCTGATATAAAAGGTTCTTAGATAAAATATGGGCACTTAGTAGGTATTCGATGAATGTTAATTCCCCTTCCGCACTGCAAATATTCATCTCAGCAACCTTAAATGATTACTGGGTAAAATAATTAAACATCTTTTATTTTGCAACTTTAGAGCTGTAATCTATTTTTATTTTCCCAGACATTTTTGGGAACTGTAGAATTGCTTGTCTAAGAACATCTGCCCTGGCCTAGTGCCAGTCAACTTTAAAGAAAGCAGCATGTGTTTGCAGCAAACTCGAGGATTAAATGCAGGAGGTCCTGAACTTCAGATGGAGGCGGGAAAAAGGGTCTTTGGTTTAAAATGTCAGAGCATTGCAGCAGCTATATTTTAAAATTATAGCTAATATTGCTTCATATATTGCTACCTACATAATGAAGTCACTACATACGAGAATTTCTATCCAGTCACTTTCCACTAATTAGCTCGTAAGTCTTTAGGTATTTTACATCACATGTAACAGAATTATCAACAAGTATTATTAAGTATTATAGTGTGAAATGGTCCCCAAATGGAATTGCAGTTAATTGTAATAATCTTTTGTGATTATAAAGTATATGACTGCACCCTGTAATTTTAAAATCTGGAGTGGCTTAAGTATTAAACTCGATACCGAGGGCATTATTATTAAAGAAAAAAATTAAATGGCTCATGAAACACTTTTCTCAAGAGGTACTTTTTTAAATTTCAATTTCTTTCTTTTAAACATGGTTCTGAAATGAAGCCAGCAAAAACATGTGCATAGTAGCTGCTAGAAAAATTCAGATGTTAAGCAAGATGGGTCCCTGGATGGAGATGCTATTCATATGTAGAAAACAAGCTCCATTTTCGATCCACTCAGTCCACTATGGTGTTTGGGTGCAGGATACTTGGCTTCCCTATGGGAAAACTGAAGGTCTTCCACCTTGGTCATGGAAACATTGAACTACCAATGCATTCTACGCCCTGATAAATTCCCTAAGGAGAATACTGGACAATAACATGGGTGCTATGGGAAAGGGTTACATGGTATTTTTGGGGGAAAAGAAAGTGAACATTACACATACAAGTTTCTTCTCATATAAATAGTGGAAATTATTTTCATTTTAAAGAGTAATTTGAACTTGTTTTTTCCAGATTAGGAGTAAGAGGAAATAACTCTAAGGTCAGTAGAGTCTTAGAACTTAGTGAAGTCTTAGATGCGTGATTCATTCCTTTATTCATTATTCATTTGTCAATATTGACTGACAACTATCTGTCTGGCTCTGTTGTAAGGATTAAGAACTCATATTCTAGTCAGTTGAACATCACATGTTCCTGCTCACATAGATTCATAAAATCTTGTGGCAGAGACACACAATAAATGGCTTAAATTAGTAAAACAAATCATATTTCAGACAGTGATAACCGCTAAGAAGAAATGAAAGCAAGAAAGAGAGATAAGTATTAAGGTGAGGGTGTTTAGATCTTAGGTATCTCTCCAGGAAAGGCCATATTATGAAAGTGACATTTAGGAAAAGGCCTGAAGGGAGGTAACAGTGCAAGTCATGCAGGTATCTAAAGGAAAAGTAGTCCAGGCCTGGGAAACAGCAACTACAAATGCCCTTGGGTAGGAATGCCTCCATTGTGTTCAAAGACCAGCAAGGCGGGCAGTGTAGCTGGAGCTGAGTGCACAAGGCAGAAAGCAGTGGGATGTGAGATGGAGAAAAGAATGTGGGAGGCCACTCACTTGGAACCTTGTGGATAATAGGCTCTTTGATTTTTATCGGGGGTAAGATGGGAAGGCACTAGAGGGTTCTGAACAAAGGAGTGAAATGGCCTGGCTAAATTTTTAACACTATATTTCTGACAGTTATGAGAGTAAAGTATACAGGTAGAAGTAAGGACACCATTTTAAACAACTCGGACTCATTCCTCATTCTTCCTACCTCTATGGAGTACAAGTATACCACTTTTTCAGGTGGGATAACTGAAGTTCAGATCCAAAGTAACTCACAAGTTTTACAAAGTCGGTGTCAGAGCTGCAAGCAGAGCCACGTTGTCTGATTCTAAGACACTCTACCCTATACCGCTGTCCCTCTGTTCTTTCTCATGCACAGTAAATGTTACAAACTAGCATGGTATAGGAGAGATAATCGGTTGTATATCATAGCACTGGAGAATGTGCAAACTTTGATACAAATCATTTATTAACAAAATCTGAAATTTTTTTGTTTCCTTACATTAGGACCGCTTGGTTTTACATGGATTAAACATTATTGTACATATGATAAGGGAAGTAAAACATTTACAATGAGTGTTTCAGAAATGAAATCCAGTGGGAAAATGGTGAGTTAGTTTTGTTTTCTGTTTGTTTTTTAAACTGTTCATTATTTAAGTAATGGAATTAAAACAAAAAAATCACATTTGTTTCTCTAGTTAACATGTACACATTTACAAAAAAATAGAAGGTCAAAGGTTTTCTCTCATTTTTGTGACGTGAATGACTTGAAAAGAGTAGCCAGGGTCTTCCTTTAACTTGGCCATGGCATATTTATAAGCAGTCGAGTTAAATGTAGGGATCCTTCAGTAGATTACAGAGGTGTCATCTCACATTTCCGGCAGCAGAGTTATTTGTCTATGCTGTTGGTTGGCTAGCAGCCCAGGAAGGGACTGTCAGTGGCTGGAACAGGCTCAAGGATTCTGTATCTTTCCCCTGAGTGGCCTCTGAGGGAGGCTACATTTGCCCCTGCATGCCTTGTCCCCTTCTGCACTGCATACTGTTAACCAAAATGCTGGCTAACAAGCTTTCTCAGAAGAACCCAATAGATGCTCATTTACCCGAAAAGTAAATTGGTCACTGAAGGTCTCACATGGCTAGTGAACAGTATAGAATACAATGTACTTTGTTTGAGGAAATGCTGCAGAGAGCTTTATTGTCTGTGGCATATAATCTTCTTGTGAGTTAAAGTATGAATATGGCAAATGATTGAACTTTTGAATTAATTAGGTCACAATCTGAGCACGCTGAAGCTGGGAGTTACACTAGAGATAATTAGTCCAGCCTTATTTTAACAGATTAGGAAATAAAGTTAGTATAAAGTAAGTGCCTCGCCCAATTAGTGGCATAGATCATGGCAGAGGTAAATGTTGATCTAACTTAGACACATACTCAAATATGTCAGTTGAAACTTATTGTACTTGGGCATTCATCAGAGTCTAATAATTCAAACTGAAAGACATAAAATAAAGGAGAACATAACCAGAGAAAAAGAAACCTTAGTTGCTACCATCCTGGGAAGTTACTAAGTGCCATAACACACCTAGTTTCTACTCTAATAGTTACTACTGTAAATCCAACTTATGTGACAGTGAGTTAATAATGTAAGTAGACCAAGCCAAAGTTCTATTAATCAATTGATGACATTTGTAGCCAAAGATAGAATTAACCATACATTCTGTAAATGTTCCCCTTAACATAGACTGGCATCTCAGTGACAAAAGAGAATTCCTATGAATGTGGCCTATGTTGGATCTTGTCCAGAGAGTCAGTTTTAGTAGCGGTGTAGCAGTGGGTTACCAGCAAAACAATCACATTGTATTAGGTTGGTGCAAAAGTAATTGCTTTTTTTCCCATTACTTTTAATGGGAAAACCATAATTACTTTTGCACCAACCTGATATACATGGTAGCAATACTATTATATCATGTATATACTGGAACTATATTATTTCCGTAGCTCTCTTGTAAACCTGAGCTAGTTATCATTTAAGGCTCTAATACAAAGACACACATATGATACTAATCTCTTTGCAATCCAGGGAGTTTTGATTAAGAGCACCAAATGTATCCTAACAAGCACTCTGTATATCCAATTGTGATGTTAAGTGACTGTGTAACTTCATACGTTTTCTAAATCTAAGAATTGAGGGATTGTACATTATAGTATAATTTAACATTGTAAGTAAATATGTTGAAGGTTACTGGACAGGCATGTTACATAATTCTTTTAAATAAAACATGCATATGCCATTAATTAAATGGTTTTATGTATTATGATCGGACAGCTAACATCAGGAATAAAAAAAGACAGGGTATGATTGTGACCTTTATACATAACCTATACTGTTAAACATTTTAATGTGGCAACTTGAGCTCACATATTTAATATATTTCAATTCACTTGTCAGCATGTTAATACTGTGGTACTCTTCTTGTTTCAGAATGGCCTTGTTACTAGCTCACCGGAAATGTTTAAATTAAAATCTTGTATCCGACGAAAGACAGATTCAATTGACAAACGATTCTGCTTTGACATAGAAGTAGTTGAAAGGTTTGAGCTGTTCTTTTCACTTTATTTTTTTCATAAGCTAAACGGTGTCTCTTTCTGTATTTAAATATAAACATGAAACAGCATTCAAGTGTTTTTTAGTCTTTTAAAAAACAGTATACATGTTTATCTCTTTCTTTCATGTTGTTATTACATGATGCTTTCGAAAAAGCAAATCAGATCCATGATGCTAGAAAACAGTAGCATCACTCAAAGCAGAATCTGAAAAATCAATATAAATGACTGTATTAGGAGAAAGTGCATGTAGTGGCCTCATGGTCCCCATCATCATGAAGGAATCCAATGGCATATTTCATGGCTCCAGGATCAGCCTTTTGGTGGGCTTTGGAAGCTTGGTGGCCTTGCTTCTAAGGAATAAGATGCAGGTGGGAATACTATAAGCTTCTTTCAGCCAACTAAGTTTAATGCCTCCAGGATGCCTCCTGTGTGCAAAGCACTGTTCCGGGTATTCTTAGCCCAAAGTATTGGAAGAGATATAAATGTCGTGAATCTAAGTGTATAATTTAAGTTTACAATAAGAATGGGTATGCTTCTTGCTCTCTGCTCTGTAATCCATGATCTATCTTTCTTCTCCTGCATTAGTGCCACAATATTCTAAATACACTAGCTTATTGTGTGTATCCATGTATACCCTTTGTATATGATGACTTTCTATATATGCTCATAAACTACAGCCTATAGCTACAGGCATACCTCAGAGATATTGCAGGTTAGGTTCCAAACCACTGTAATAAAGCGAATATCATAATAAACTGAGTCACAGAAATTTCTGAGTTTCTCGGTGCATATAAAAGTTATGTTTATGCTACACTGCAGTCCATTAAGTGTGCAATAGCATTATGTGTAAAAAATATACATCCCTTAAAATATTTTAAGTAATGTGAATGGTCATCTGAGTCTTTAGTGAGTAGTAATTTTTTTGCTGGTGAAGGATCTTGCCTCGATGTTGGTAGCTGCTAACTGATCAGCATGGTGGTTACTGAAGGATGGGGTGGCTGTGGCCATTTTCTTAAAATGAGACAGCAATAAAGTTTGCCACATCAATTGAATCTTCATTTCAACAAAGATTTCTCTGTACCATGCAATGCTGTTTGATAGCATTTTACTCAGTAGGGCGTCTTTCAAAATTGGAGTCAGTCCTTTCAAACCCTGCCCTACTGCACTGTCAGCTAAGTTTATATGATATTCTAAATCCGTTGTTGTCATTCAAAAACGTTTATAGCATCTTCACCCGGAGAAGATTCCATCTCAGTAAACCACTTTCTTTGCCCATCCATAAGAAGCAACTAGTCCTTTCAAGTTTTATTATGAGATTGCAGCAATAAAGTCACATTTTCTAGAAGGCTCCACTTCTAATTCTAGCTTTTTTGCTATTTTCACTACATCTGCAGTAACTTCCTCCACTGAAGTCTTGAACCCCTCCAACTCATCCCTGAGAGTTGGAATCAATTCTTTCAAACTGCTGTTAATGTGGATATTTTGGCTTCCTCCCACGAGGGACAAATGTTCTTAATGACATCTAAAGTGATGAATCCTTTCTAGAAGGTTTTCAGTGTACTTTACCCAGATCCATTAGAGGAATCACTACTTATGGCCGTGAAAGCCTAATGAAATGTGTTTCTTAAATAATAAGACTCAGAAGTCTAACTTATTCCTCTTATTCCTTGATCCATGTGCTACATAATATATGTTGTGTCAGCAGGCATGAATATATTATTCTCCATTTAAATCTCTATCAGAACTCTTGGGTGACTAGTTGCATTGTCAATGGGCAGTAATATTTAGAAATAAACCTCTTTAATCAGAAGGTCTCAACAGTGGCTTAAAATATTCAGTAAACCTTACTGTAAACAGATGTGCTGTCATTCAGCCTTTATTGTTCCATTTGTAGAGCACAGGTAGAGTAGATTTAGCATAATTTTTAAGAACCCTAGGATTTGCAGAATGATATATGAACATTGGCTCTGACTTTAAGTCACCAGTTACATTAACCTCTAACAAGAGTCAGCCTATTTGAAGCTTTGAGGCCAGATAGTGACTTCTTTCTATTTGTGGAAGTCTTAAATGAGGGCATCTTCCAACAGAAGGCTATTTCATCTACATTGAAAATCTGTTGTTTACTGTAGCCACCTTCATCCATGATTGTAGCTAGATCTTCTGTATAACTTGCTGCAGCTTCTACATCAACTCTTACTGCTTCATCTTATACTTTTATATTATGCAAATGGCTTCTTTCCTCAAACATCATGAACCAACTTCTGCTAGGTTCATACTTTTTTTCTGCAGCTTACTCACCTCTCTCAGCCTTCATAAAATTGAAGACAGTCAGGGCCTTGCTGTGGAAAAGGCATTGGCTTAAGAGAATGTTATGGCTGGTTTGATCTTCTATACACACCACTAGAACTTTCCCCATGTCAGTAGTAAGGTTGTTTTGATTCCTAGCGTTTGTGTATTCACTGGAGTGGCACTTTTAATTTCCTTTAATAATTTTTCCTTTGCATTCACAGCTTGGCTAACTGATTGGCACAAGAGACCTAGTTTTTAGGCTATCTTGGGTTTCAACATGTCTTTCTCACTAAGTTTGGTCATTTATAGCTTTTGATTTAACATGAGAGACATGTGAATCTTCCTTTCCCTTGAACACTTAGAGGTCATTGTGAGATTATTGATTGGACTAATTTTAATATTGTTGTATCTCAGGGAATAGGGAAGCTAAGGGGAGGGAAAGAGATGGGGAAATGGCCAGTCAGTGGAGCAGTGGCACACACAACTTTTATTGACTGTTTGCCATCTTATGTGGACATGGTTAATGGCACCCCAAAATAATGACAATAGTAATATCAAAGATCACTGTTCATACATCACATGATAGATATAATAACAATGAAAAATTCCAAATATTGCAAGAATCACCAAAATGTGATACAGAGACACGATGTGAGCAAACGCTCTTGGAAAAATGGTGCTGATAGACATGCAGAACACAGGGTTGACACAAACAAACCATCAATTTGTTAAAAATGCAGTATCTGCAAAGCTCAATCAAGCAAAGAGAAATACATCAAGGTTTGCCTGTATCTAGTAGGGCAATGACTGTATTCCTAGGCTGCTGTAAACTGTGTTGACTCTTTTGCTCTGTGTTCTTATGATTTTTAAGATCCACTTACTAAGTTTCTCCTTGTTTCTCAAAATATCTTTTGGGATTTTGACTGAAGTTGCAGTAAAGTCTTCAATGGGTGTGGAATTAACCTCTTTTTGAATATTTTACATATCTTTTTTCAAATTTACTTTTGAGTACCTTCTTTTTATTGTTGTTTTGAATAGGATTCTTCTTTATGAGTTGAATTTTGTTTTCCTAAATGGTTAAGACTACTGCATAAAGAGGCTGTTAGTTTATTTATATATAATTCTCTTATCTGACCTATTTGCTGAACTATTTATTAGTTTTAATAGTTTTGTGTAGATATTTCTGGATTTTCTATGTAGACAAATACCAACATGTTAATGCTTTGTCTTAACACATTCCGGTTATATAACCTTGGAGCACTTTATTAAACTCTGTACTTAGGTTTTTTCATCTTTAAATTAAGGATAATAAGTACCCACCTCAAAGAATTGTTTTCAGGATTAAATGAGAGAATTAAGGAAACATAACACAGTGCCTGTCACATAGTAAATATCCAACAAATACTGATTTTCAATATTTTATTTTTGGTATTACTACACTGGCTTAAATTCTCCAACATCAGATTATCTTGATATATATTCAAGATTCTCATGATCTGTGTTCTTGTTTGCAGAAGAGATGTATGTTATTATTTGTCATTCCAGGTTTTTAATTATAAAATATTTATAATAAAATTTCCATCTGAATGTTCTTCACAGATCCCTCAATTTTCTGTTTAACTAAGTTAATTCCTTTGTTTCTAATATTTTATATCTTTTCCTCCATATGCTAGTTTTCTCCCTTCCTCTCCCTAGTCTTTGTTTCTTTCTTGAAGTATATCCTCAAGTAACTATTTCAGAATGACTGCATGGGAGAGAATTATTTTTAAATGAATTCATTTCAATATTGTCATCATGGTACAGAGAAATGCTTTGGTTTTAGTGTCTTTTTACCTGTTACCTAGTTATGATATGAGGCTTTCCACATTGTTCCATATTAATTGTAATTGTTTTTAGTGACTAGACTGTACCACATCAGGGTCAAGTTCTCATATTGTGGAATTCATAGATGGCTTTGAAGAATGTAACTTTTTCATCCTTTTTGATCATTTCAAGGGAAATAGTTTGAAACTAGTCTCCTTCAGACTGTCCTGTACCAAAAACACTTAATGATTTTATCACCTGTGATCATTAGAATTAAAAACATTTTTTGCATGCCTAGTGATTTTTCTGAAAGTATTATACTTCAGTCTTTTTCTTTTTTAGAAAAATTCCTATGTTTTTCTCCTCTGTCTTCATTTCTCTTTTCTCTTAACTTTTTTTCTTCAAATTTTATCTTTTTAGTTAACTGAGAATTTAAAAAGTAGTAAATGTGTAAATATAGAAAATATTTGTTTTTAAATAGGCATGGGATCATCACGTTACAGGCCTTCTCAGAAGCTAATAGGAAACTCTGGCTTGAAGCCATGGATGGGAAGGAACCGGTAAGACTATGACACATTCTATAATTTAGGTTTTATTGTCCTAATAATTATAATGTATGGAAATTCTTTTCATAGTATACAATGTTTTGCCTGTAGTATAATTGAAAATATTAAAAAAGGAAATCAGGGGAGTAGAGACTTTTATGGTTTCCTAGTCTCACTCATGGCCCATAACTCTACCTTTCTGACTTATTTTATAAGGGGACTTTTGGGACTAATTTAAAACCCTAAAATTACTTCTTAAAAAATTACTTACACTCATCACCTTGGCTCCACCCATTAGGTTAGCTTATTCAGTTAATAATGATCGCATGCCCAGTCTTTGCAAGGCCTGTGCTAGGCATGTGATTAGAGTGATGAACAAGGTTCAGGGTAAGAACTGATTCTCTAATCAAGACCATTTTTAAAAAGTATAACTTAATAAAACTGCCTGTGGCTTGACATTTTCACTTCCATACATATCCCCATTTTTAATAGTTATTTTGAAATTGTATGATAGTCTACTTACAAAAAATAGGAAGGCTTACGTAAAAAGGAGGCTGAATCATTCATCACTGTCTGTTTTCTTAAAGAACACTGTTACTAGATCAGTAGAGGGTGAACACACAGAGGAAATAAGAGTCGCCATCCTGTTACTTGAGAACCATTCTTTAGATGGCAAAGAACCTGTACAGCAATAGTGCCAAACAAAGTGTGGTCCTCAGACTTTGAGACCCTCCCTCAAACTGTGTTACCAGTCCACAGTAAGATCAGTACAGAAATTGTGATTCAGCCTTTAGAAAATCCTGTAGCCACTTGGGTTATTTTAAGCCTGTTAAATTTAATTTAAAAATTGGAACTCTGCATTGATTTTTTTGTTATTTTCTATTTCAATTTTATTATATTTTACACAAATGTGAATAATAGATTTAAAAGAAAATTCACTCTTTACCAGAAATAGTTGAGAAGCCCTGACTTAGAGCAAATTTAGGGAATAGTTTGTTAGCCCAACAATGTACAAGTTAGGATTGTGTACATTGAGAACAGGCTAAGCAGGAAATTGGAAGAAGGAGCAATTCCGGAAATCCATTATGAGATACTTCCTGAGAAAGGCTCATTATGCATCATACTGGGGCAGAGAATAAGATGCTTAAATGAGATGGAGGTAGAACCTTGTCCAGGGCAGCACAGCCACGGATGGAAAAGGAGTGGGAAGTGAGGGTGGGTGAACCACAGGAAGGAAGTTGGTTGATGGTACACAGGTGGTGCTGTGGACACAGCAGTTGTAGGACCTTGAAATCAAGACACTCTTTTCATCTATTAGTGTACAGATATCACCTTGCTAATCTTTTGTGCTGGGTCATTAACTGGAAGTAACTAATGGACATCCTTTGTTTTTTAGATTTATACTCTGCCTGCCATTATAAGCAAGAAAGAAGAAAGTAAGTCATTTTAATAGTTATTTAAAATTTTATCATGAAGTTATTTTTAACACAAAAGCATTAGGTGATTGTAAGTATTCTGGGGAAATAGTATAACACCATTGATCTCATGGTACAGCAACTTTGAAATTTTTATTTAAAATGTTTCTCATGTTAAAACCACAAACTTCTGATGTTACAGTAACAAAAGTTAATTTTTATTTCTTTGGTGTTTACTTATTTACATGCCTTGGTTTATCTCTGATAGAGATTTGAGAAAGTTGATATTTAGCTCAATTATTTATATAAAATATATAATATATAATTATATTATATTTTTATTATATATTAAATATATTATATATTAATAAATATATAATTATAATCAAGCTAAATCATATATAATTATATATAAATACTGTATTTATTTATCTATATCAATATAAATATATAACACAGTGGAGAGCTTCTTTGTCTTATTTTCTCTGCTCCAGTTTTCTTACAGGTATAAGACTGCAGACATAAACACTTCTTGCTGGTTTTAGTGGATAGTGGCTAAGAATGTAAAATATAAGGACCTTGTCATTACACATGGTATATGTTGGAAAAGATGTTTTTACTGTATTATTAGTAAATCATTAGTTTGTAGCCATTCTTTATAAACACAGTTTATATGTTTTTCATCATGTTCTGAATCCTCTTTAATTACCTGCCAACTTCTTGCTATCTTTTATCTGTGGTTAGTTTAGGGTATTTTCATAAGTGCTTTACATAGTCATTTTACTTGATATTTAAAATTAATTTGTGTATTTGTTTCTAGGGTTATGTATATAACTTTGAAAGCAATTCCAAGTTTTATGTAATGCAATGGATTTTGTCTTATGGCTTCTAAATTTATTTTTCAAACAAACTCAATAACCCTGACATTTACTTTTCTTATTTATTTTATTTTTATTTTTTAATAGAGATGAGGTCTCATTTTGTTGTCCAGCCTGGTCTCTAACTATTGGCCTCAATTAACCTTCCCACCTTGGTCTCCCAAAGTGCTGGGATTACAGGCATGAGCCACTGTGCCTGGCCAACCCTGACATTTAGATTGCTGTGGAAATATGAGTTAGAATGGAATAAATATAAACTAGGAAAGCACTCATTTGAAAGTTATAAATATTGAATGTATTAAAAACCTATTATTTTATCTGAATTAAATGCTTTCTAGTGATTAACTTCAGAAATTATCAAAAGAAAATGCATGATATAAAAGATGTTTCAATAATTAAATAACATAATTTAAAAATTATTTTTAAATAATATTTTAAAAAACTATTTCCAGTTTTTATTCTCACATTTACTTCCTTATTGGAATCAAGGAAAGTGATTAGTATAAAATCCTTTATTGCCAACTTTTATCTAATCACAGATACATTAACCAAATGGTGAGAGTTTTGTATGTACTGAATGTTCATTCTAAATAATTACCTAAAAAATAATCTTTTGTATAAATTGCATTTGAGAAGAGTGTGAAATGTGTTTTCTAACATTAGTTTGATTGTTGATATGCACTATAAGGTTAGTCCTTTCAAATTCAAATTACCCAAGGACAAATCCTTCATGGAAGACAATTGCACCTATATACAGTGTTGAGTAGGGCTTCTGAATGGTGGCATAGTCAAGTTGATCAGAATATACTGATGCTTAATTAAATGTACCACCAAAACTAATGTACTTATGATGGAGAGGGAGTCTGCATCTTCATGCAGTACAGAATCATTCTTCTGGAAATAGGTATCCTGCAGTGTCAGCCACCAGAAACATCACTGTGCCTTCAATTATAATTATAAAATGGTGTGCGTTTCAGAAAAATAGCAGTGCTAGAGTGTGTGTGTTTATATCATGTCTCACACTCTGGCTTTTTGTATGGTATATTAGTTTCCTACCCAGTACTCTGAGCTCCTTGTGACAGAACCCGTCTCTTCTCCATAGTAGTCAATACAGGCCTTTCCTGAGACATGTGCTGAGCACAGATGTGCTCTTATTTTTCTCATTAGTACCAGTAGGCTTTTATTACCCAAGGGAAGATTTTTGGTTACAGAAGAAATATTACAAGCTTCTACTTTAGTGCTTAAAGTTATGAATCTTAAGCTTTATTTTTAAGTTTTATTTTTAATATTTGATTTATTTTAAGCCATATTTTTACTTGAAGCCTGTTTTTAATCAGTATACAGATCTTATTTGTAATTGCACTAACTTTTAAAACTAAGTCGTTTTCACTTTATTTTGTTTTCATAAATCTGACAGAATTCTCCCATTTGTACATTTAATTAGTAAAGTTTCCTTAAGACATATCAACTGATGACAAAATAGTGAATTTTATTCTCTCAAAGTCACCCTAATTAGACTGATTTGTGATCCTGACAAATATAATCTTTTCAACACCTAGCAACTTTTTTAATCTAATAAATCACTTTATAAATGCAGATTAAGTATTATGTTGAAATTAAGTATTGTAAACCTTCTAAATAAATACACTCAATTGCATAGTGATTTCAAAAGGTCTTACTACTTTTGCATAAACTAAACTTATTGAAAAATACACTTATTTTTAGCTGTCACACACATGGGGATTCAAATTTGCTCACCCAAACAGAATCACTACCCTGTTGAAAAGTCAAGACTATGGCAGGTGCTACCAATGAAAGAAACCCTGGCTCAAAGGCACAGGATTGGACTCACTTTCCAGAATTTAGCTGCCAGCACCTCTGGGGTGGACATTGTGGTATTACTAATTCACCTAAGTCAGGCTTTTTTTTTTTGAGATGGAGTCTCACACTGTTGCCCAGGCTCAAGTGCAGTGGCAAGATCTCAGCTCACTGTAACCTCCGCCTCCTGGGTTCAAGCAATTCTCCTACCTCAGCCTCCCAAGTAGCTGGGATTACAGGCACATGCCACCACGCCCAGTGCCCAGCTGATTTTTGTGTTTTTAGTAGAGATGGGGCCTCACCATGTTGGCCATGTTGGTATCAAACTCCTGTCGAACTCCTCGGGTAAATTTGTGTTTCAGTGATTGTGAAATTCTTATACCTGTTAGGTCTTGAATAAGTCATGTGAGCTCATTGTGTTAAGTGCTTAAATCAGTTTATATCTTTCTTTTTGTCAGGCGCTCTAACCATTTTTTTGTACATCATCCTGTTCTTGAGATCTTGTATTTCTTTTTAGTTGATATTTGACTCCCCTAAAGGTAGCATTGCATCAATTTCAGTATGTAACTTCTCCTGTAACTGGTATTGGAAACCAGTACCAGCCCTAACTCACCGGCCACTTCGAAGAGTACTCATTTATATCCTCCATAATTCAGATGGCTTCCACTTATTCTAAAATACTCTTGTTGTCCTTTGGAAACTCAGTTTTGCATAATATGTATTTGTGTTTTTGAACTGCTGAAGACAATGAAGTTTAGGATGGTAAAATATATAACTTAGGTAAACGTTTGTTTGAATGCCAGCCATTTAGAAGCAATCATAACATCTGTGCCTTCACTGAAAATCCTACAAGCAACAGTGTGAGAAATATCTAATGTTCTAAAATAGGGCCATAGTATGAATTTACAGAGAACAAATGCCATAGAATGAAGAATAAAACTATGCTGTGACTGTAGTTTCATGCTACTCTTTGTGAGACTAACATGCAAAAGTCTTCCTACCTTGTATTAATAGTTACTCTTAATTTACCATTTTCAAAGTATGGATGCCATAAATGAGACTTGAAAAGGAAAGCTTGAATCACCTTTATGAAAAAACATCAAATAAGAAAATAAAATATTGGTCAATGACAGGGTATTGAATTTACAAATACTTTTCTGGTTGTAAAATATGCTGCAATATCCATGAAATTGTAAGACTTTGGGAATGAATTTATTTTTGTAGTAGTAATATCTATCATCAGTATTAAACAGATGCCATTCAATTAAGATTAGCACTAAACTAGTCCTCAAGCCATGACACTGGGGACATTTGGTAAAAAGTAGCTCACCCATATGTTTTCTGTAGTTCTGCCATTTGAATACATCTTTCAAAGGAACAAATTACATTTTATGACATACCTTTCCTGCCCCAAGACCTCCATCTTGGAACAGTCATTTACAGAGGCAAAAGCAGTTAACATTTCTTCTAGGCTTTCTTTCTCTGACATTCTCAATTGGTGCCCTGAGCCTTGTCCCCATTCAAATATGAGTTTTGTGTGATGGCTTCTGAGCTGGTCCTTCAACCCTGGGTCTGGAGAAGGTGAGCACTGTGAAAGAAAAGGCACTTAGATCTCATTCTCTCATGCAGTCAGTTCAAAAATATTCCATTGTGCACCTACTCTACTCCAGGTACTGCGAGTAAGAAAAAGGAAGTTCTTTTCCATTGACTTTCCGCTAATAAAAGTCAATATTTATGTGTGTAATGACAAAGTCACCTAACATTCAGTCCTTATACAAAATTGAAGGGATTGGAACAGAAGATAGTCTTGAAATTTCCCAACAGCTCTAAATTTCTGCTTGTGTGTTTAAGTGGCTTTCCTCAAGTGTACCCGTGTATCTATTCTCCACAGCAATAAGCTTTTTCTTCTTCTCATTCTATGCAGTTACCATCTGTTATGAGTGTTCTTGAGCTTCATATTGTGGTTTAGATAGTTTGGTTCTGGAAGTTCTCAGATGTCCCTAGGTTATCATCCTCCTTCTTTGCCATATAATCCCCTGATCTTTGATCAGTTACAGTTTTGTTTTTATCACAGAGGCCCAAGAAGATGTCATAGCTCAAGTGCTCTTCATGGGCAGAGCAGAATGAAAGAAGAATTTGGGCCAGGGCTATGGAGAGTTAACTGCCCATCCTTAAGGAGCAGAGAAAAGGTCCAGTAGGTATCATGAACACTGATAAATGTACTAATTTATTTTTTATTTATTTCAGTTAACATACAGCATGATATTAGTTATCTGTGATAAGGGACCTTTTAATCTGAAACAGGAGATCAGCAAAGTGAATTAAAAATTAAAGACAAATGTTGCTTTGTTTTGTCAACCCTGAGAATGTACTGTAAGGTCAAGTAGATTACATCTGTAAGGACATACTAGGTTTTGAATTGCTAGGAAATTGAAGGTGTAAGGACTTTTGCTTTGTTAGCTCTGTGGAAGACTATTCTTTTTCCTTTCCTCATGGCTGTTTGAATTCTGTTGAGATTAATAGCTTTTGTGCTGCTAAACTGCCTTATGGAAATTTTTTTAAGGTTTTAATAAAAGCTTTATCCCTGAACAGTTTACAGAGGGGGAAAAAAAAAGGTTTAGGCTTAACTTTTGATTGAATATATTAAGTTGATTAAGTTAGTCTGTCTTCTGCTTCTACCCTCACCCATGAAGGCCAAGTATCATTAATGTTATAGAATTCTAATTCTCATATTACAGAATTTGGTAGTAGTTGTATTCTGGGTATCCCTCTGCTTCTCTCTACAATGGAGGAGATACAGGGCTGGGGTAGGGCTTGGGACTGGGAAAGTGTTCACAAATGTAGCTTATGTAAGCTAATCAACTCTAACCCTAATAGAAACCATCAGAGAAGGTACTTGAGCAATCCTGGTACAAACCAGTAACTAGCAAGCCATCAATCAATAAGCATGTATTGGCTGCCTGCTCTGGGCCAAGCATTGAGCCCAAATCAGCAATCGTTATTTCTCCTGTGTAGGATACTTATCCTCCTCTCCTTGCTGTTGCCCCAGAAGTACCTTGTCCTCCACTGAAGGAGAATTATCATTAATTATCAGCCTTTTTAATGGTGCAATTTGATTTAGTAATAACCCTTTCCATCGACATTTGAACATGAAAGAGTTCCCGGGTGTTTTTGATTTTTTGTTTTTTGTTTTGTTTTTGGATGTTAAGAGGACACGTTTTAGTTGAATTCTCATGAGCACTGATGCATTAAGTATAGTAACCCCTACTTGGCTTTGGAAAACTGGTCATTTTCCATTACAGAATGTGTTTGCCACTGACTTCCCTCAGAAATGACAATCCTTGTGACTACTTCATCCACAGTCATTGGAAGACAAACTATTTTAGCCATCTTGTCCTCTTCTCAGACCTCAGAAGAAATTGCTGGGTGCTCAAGTGAAGGCGCTGTCTATAGTTGATGGTTGTTTGCAAAGCAACCATCAACAGGCACTGCCACTGCTGCTCTTTGCTGCCTTTGTTATGTGAATTGATAAGTCAGTAGTCAAAAGGGACATCATATTCCAGTTAAGGGAGGAAAAGTTCATTGTGTGGGATTGCCTTTATTTCAGTGAGTTTTGCCACAGTGAATTAAGTTATACACAACTAAATCAGAACTGGCCAGGTTATGCTTAGTAATAGATGATCCTCAAGTCTCAGAGGCTGATGACAATATAGGTTCATTTCTTCTTTATAGTACATGTCCATATAGGTCAGCAGTGACTCTCAACATTGTTTTCACTCTGGAACTTGAGTTGATAGAGAAGCCTCCCTTTGTATCATTGCTGATCCTGTGACAAAGGAAAAAGAAAATTGCAAGCCACATACTGGCTCTTAGTGGCTGCTGGGTAAAGACACATGTCACTTCTGTTCATATTTCATTGTTAATGTGTATCACATGACCAAGCCTGGCTTCAAGGGTGCTGAGAAATATAATCTTCTTGCAGGGAGGGACAACAGATAATGGGTAAACAGTAATTTCAGTCTGCTATAGTCTGTTTAGCTCTAGTGAGAGGATATGTTTTTTCATTGTATTTATTGGAGTATAATGAGCACATAGGGACATTTCTTAATATCCAACTTACTATTTTTTCAGTGACTAGGTTCACAGGGCCTGCCTGGTTTATGCCTGATCTATGTCTGTTTGAAGAAACAGATCATTGCTCTATCCATGAATATTTTAAAAATAAGTGACAAAGTGATATATGCCTGTTCAAAAAACAACACTTGTGGCTGACAGTCCCTCAAGCCCCAGTGATTTTAGCCCTGCAGGAAGGATGCCTTATTCATGAAATTTACATATGTAGAGATTTGCATTCTTCTCTAGTCAATAATAATGATAATGATAAGAGCCAATACTCTAAAGCACTTACTATATTCTAAGCATACACTATTCTAGGAGCTTTGCAAATGTTAACTTACTTCATCTTTAAACAGTGCTATGAAGAAGATACTATTATCTTTATTTTGTAGGAGAGGAAACTGAGGCACAGAGATCAAAACCATGCCTAGTAACAGAGCTAATAAGTGGAAGAGTAACTACTGCCCCTCTCATCTAATTAGAACTAATGACTGGCTTCTTTTATAATTTCTTCTTATGTTTTCCTTCATATAGCAGTGATGTGTAGACAGGAGCAGATAGGAAAAAAAAACCTAGCATTGAATTCGTCTTGTTCCATTGTTAGGCACTCTTCCGTTTGTCTTCATCTTACTACAACTGTTTAACTTAGGTATTGTTACTTCCCTCATTTTATAAATGAAGGAACTTGTTTATAAAATAATAGGCACATTTCCCCTACCTCAGACATACAGCAGTGATACTAGAGCTGAGAATTGGCCTTAGGTTTTCCTGGCTTTAAACAAAGCTGTGCACTAACTCTGCACCATGAAACTACTCTTTCAGTCAAAGCAAAGGATGGTCAAAGGAAACAAAAATTCATGGTTATTTTTGCCAACACAGTATATTCTTCCACATCTCTGAATTGGTTGATAATGTTGTATTTACTCACATGACGGGAGCTAAGTACAGGATCCATGGAATATGTCAGAACGGCAGCATCCGTAGAGTAACGCTGCAGTTAGACTGACTCTCAGTAAGATGTCATTCTACATGATGAGCTTGTGATATCAGTTTATTAGAAAAGACTGGAATATTGCTGCCAAATATCCCAGTATACTTTGAGGTACAGCCTGGTTATTACTTATTTTTCTCAAAATGAATACTTAAGAGAGAAATTCTGTTTTATGTCACTACTATCTTCATTCCTTTTTGTTGAAAGGAAGTTCTATTGAAATTTTTTTAAATGGTTGTCTTTTTCTCTTAATATATCTTTTTAGTGAAAAATAGAACAATGTGACCTCTAGTACCAAACATTTTAAATGTCAGGAACTTGCAGTTTTAGTTGATATAAAAATGCTAGTGTCTTGCTTTTACCTAGGGTTACTTTTTTTTGTCTCAGTTTTTGTTGTTGTCCTTAAAACTGAAAATTAAATGATTCCTCACTTTTCCATCTTACCTGTCTCCTATATTCAAAAAGTATTTTAAAATGTCTGAATGCTTAGTGTTATGCTGGGCATTTTGGGGTTATTGGAAGCAAGCAATCTCTCTTTGGTGTCCAAGAAAAGCTTCACTCTCATGTAGGTAGGTCATTAGCTGCACTCTGATGAGATGCCATGGCCATTCATTTTTGTGTGTTGAGTTCACTGAAAGTATTCACTGAGTTCTGTTCTTTTGACCTAGGACACTGGGGACAAAGAAATAAATGAGCCACTTCCCATTGATGGCAATACTTATTTTAGTTTTGACATTTTTATTTCTAGAGTTTTGAAGTTCTTTTTAGAGTACTAAACACATACACACACACACATATATATACACACATATATATATATTTTTCAAAATGTCAAATAATCCCAAAATGCCTAGTGAATTAAAAATGACAATTTCTAACTTTTGCCCTCTTTCTCCTTACCAGTAGTTTGCATATATATTTGTGGAGTTTTTTCTTAGGAAAATAGAAACAGTCATACATACCCTCAAATTTTTACATTTTGAGAAAATAGGCCTTATTGTCCTGTCGATTACTTTTGTCACCTAACAACACATAATAAATACCTCTTCATAGTAGTACCTCTAGTTCCATTGTTAGGCACAGATTTTTCACGCCTTTCTGTCAATCAATTCAGTTCCATTGGCTTGCTGTGCCTAGAATTTTTTTCAGTTTTTAGTTTGTTGCTGTTACCCTTTCTTGATTTTTATCATAATTTTTTTGATATATATTTTTTTGTCTGGGGATCTATTTTGAGTTACAAGAATGTGTTTAATCTACTGTCTTTAAATGGAAGTTAGTTTTAAATTTGTATTGGTTTGAATTCTCCTCATTTATTATTTGAGAATATTTTAAAAATCATGTCACTACCACGTGATGAAAATTTGTATCATAGTTCAAAAAATTTTCAGTTTCTCCTCTGGGTGTTAGTTGGTATTTTTTAAATAAATGCTTTCTCTTTAAATAAGTAATTTAATTTGACCTCGCCCCAAAACCCTTTAAAAAAATTAGAATTGATCCAAAGAAAATCTAGCCAAAAAACAATGAAAATAAATTGCAATTTCATAATCCTAGGACCTTTTGGGGATGTTTAGTGACTGACAATGCATGTTTTGAATTATTTTAAATATGGTAGCAAAATGAAAAATAGAACATGGAGCGTAGAATCAGACCCGAGTTTGAATCCTGACTCTAGAGCTTAAAACTGAGAGCAGTGGAGGTTTTCAGCAACCCAGGGAATCATCTTAAGACTGCAGAGCCTTTTCTTTACCTCATAATGTTTTGAGAATCGCGGGAAAGGATATGTGAAAGGCTTTATAATACAAGTTTCAATACATAATAAGGATTTATTCTTACTGCATTTGCTCCTATCATCTGAAAGAAAACACGTAGTAAAGGAGTAATGCTATTTTTAGGAAAAGTGGATGAGATCATTGTAATATACTTTCTGTGAAGGATCTTAGCAGGTTGATACAATAGCTGTGAGGGTGAAGTTCCCTCCTCTACTTCTACCCCAAAATAAAAAGTCAGCCTCTAACCAAAATATTTGGAAGACTCAGAAAAAACCTCTCTACTGTTGAGTCATAAAGGCCCAGTGAACAGAGCCAACTGAAGGGGGAATGTGAGTTCAGCGTAAACACCTAATGCGATTTCTCTCTTATTTTCAGTGTATTTGAATGAAGCAGGGTTCAACTTTGTGAGAAAATGCATTCAAGCTGTGGAAACAAGAGGTCAGTGTTGCCTGATTGGTACAGCATCCCTGTCATGTGTCTCATTCTTACATGGAAAACTCTCAGAGTAGATAAATCATTGAAGATGTATTTGGTCATTAACATGGATTAATTTTAAGAGTAATATAAATGTATGTATCGGTATACAAATAGCTATACCTTGAGCTTCAGTTTACTAAAAATCATGCTTTAGGCATACTTCTTTTTTAGATTTTTTTCTAATACAGCCTCACTATACTTCTTATTGAGAAGCCCTGCATTATTTATTACTGCAAGCACCTCTTTGATTTTTTTTTTTCCAAGCATTAAGGAGGTAAGATTCTTAAGGAGCTTGTCTTCACTCCCTTCCTTCCTTATAGTCTTTCTTTTACTGATTTGTCACTGCCACAGTTTTGGTACCTTTCTTCGTTTTAATCATGACCTCTGTCTTGAAGTCCACTCCAGTTAAACTTTAAACTCACTTCTAGGAAAATTTGGCTAAAGCAAAATTCATATTGGGTTTTGGAGTTCCATAAACTTATATTTAAATTTTAAGTGCTGCCACTTCAACATTCTGAGAAGTAGTTTCCTTGAATTCTCTGAATCTGTTTCCTCATCTCTAAAATGAAGATATAAATGCCATAGGACTTTTCAACATGCAGGAGGACTCCATGACTCTGAAGAAATAGAATATGAGTAATATCGATCATCCCTTCCCATCTCCATTGCTTTTTTATATTCAAATAATGGTGAATAGGCAGCTACACTTTGCTACTTTGAAGATCTTCAAAGACTTTCAAATCACTGTTCAGTGTCTGCTCTGAGAAATAGAAGTCTGATGGGTATTTCCAGGATAGCTTTGCTAAAGTTAGACTGTGAAATTGGATAAGTAGCTTTCAAATTTTGTTAGGCATATGTCTGAGTTTTTAACATTCTGTACTTGCCAAGCTGTATCTCAAGCCGTTTTCTTGTGATTTTCCTTCCTATTAGGTATCACCATTTTAGGACTCTACCGAATAGGAGGAGTGAACTCCAAAGTTCAAAAACTCATGAATACCACATTTTGTAAGTTTTGGATGAAGCAACTTACATAATTTTTGTGTTCTTATAGGTAATCTAAAGTATGGACTTCTTTGACTAGTGCTTGTCTTTGAATATTTTCAAATAATATTTAAAGTTCATATATGTATTCAGTTTTTAATGTTCATTTATAATAGATGAACGATGAGAATTTGAGGGGGCATTTTTATAATACTGTATTTTTTTTCCCCAAGTGTCCTTTGGTAAGCTAGAGATACAATAAGATGCATGGATGCTAGCTGGAGTCATTTGGAATCCTAGCTCAGCCACTTACAGGTTTTGTGACCTTGAGTAATTTGCTTAACGTCTTTGTGTCTCAGCCTCCTCATTTATAAAAATAGGGATAATAATGGTACCTGCCTCTTAAGAGTTGTGAGGATTGACTATGTTAATCTCCGTAAAGCACTTAGAAGCATGCTAGGCACATGGTAAGTGCTCTGTCATGTTAACAATTAGCAATAATTTCATTTGGGAGACTTATTTCATAAGATATATCTTTGAGGTTTAGTGTCAGCTTTTTATCAATTCACGCAAACAACAGTACTAATGTTAACTCTTGGCATTCTAAGAAATGAATACCTCTCTCTTTTGACCTACTTACGTTTGTGCCCATTTTTCATAATTGCATAAGAAATATTTTGAACTGCACAATTTAAACACCTTGTTTTATTCTTTCCAGCTCCTAAATCCCCTCCTGATATTGATATTGATATTGAACTGTGGGACAATAAGACGATAACAAGTGGGCTGAAAAACTACCTCAGGTGAGGAGGGTTTAACTCCTGGTACTCTGGATGTAATCTCTGACTCACCCCTTGAGTAGTAACCACGTGATTTCTTGGAGCCTGTGTCCAGAAGCTTCACTCAGTAGCTCAGTTCCCTTACATAAGGTGAAATAGCATGACATGGTAACATTTACATTTAGTGTTCTGGAACTTGTACTTGATTTTTTCAATAATAATTTAAAAGGCTATATAATATTTTGAGTACTGAATTAGTATTTGTTGTCCCATATGTATATGGGATTTTTATGTACTTTTTTAAATAACAAATTGGAATGGAAAGTTGTGTTGTTTTTGTTTTGTTTTTTAACTATTGTTCCCATATTTGTTCCTCTGGTAAGGTAATTCTGATATTGGGAGACTCCCAGTCTCCCCTCTTAATACAGTCATGGAAAGAAGTACATTGGTGTCTTCGAGGTCTGCGTTTCAGGTCTCTCTGTGGCCCCACTACTGGAACTTTATCATACTGCCAAATCACCCAATTCTTTTATTTACTTATTTATGTGTTATTTTATTTTTAATTGATGAATAACAGTCACCTAATTCTTAAAGAAACACTTAACGTTTAGGGGAGAATAAAAGATTCTACTATTCTAACATGTGTTTCCTTTCTCTGTTGTAGGTGCCTTGCAGAACCACTGATGACTTACAAGTTGCACAAAGATTTTATCATTGCTGTTAGTAAGTATACTTGCATCATATACACATTATAATTGATGTAGTTTTATGCTGCCATACTTAGGCATATATTACTAGTATCAGCTAGTGAAGATTTTTTTCAAGTATTGCTTAAAAAGTTGTTAATCTGGGCCGGGTGCGGTGGCTCAAACCTGTAATTCCAGCACTTTGGGAGGCCAAGGCTGGCGGATCACCTGAGGTCGGGAGTTCGAGACCAGCCTGACCAACATGGAGAAACCCTGTCTCTACTAAAAATACAAAATTAGCTGGGCATGGTGGCACATGCCTGTAATCCCAGCTGCTCGGGAAGCTGAGGCAGGAGGATCACTTGAACCCAGGAGGCGGAGGTTATGGTGAGTCGAGATCGCGCCATTGCACTCCAGCCTGGGCAACAAGAGCGAAACTCCATCTCAAATTAAAAAAAAGAAAAAAGTTGTTAATCTGATATTTAGTAATTTATAATGTGTTTTAGAAGCCAATAAGAAATTGCAGAATTAACTGAAATATTTTGACACTTAGTGAGACCTCATTGGGTAAGTGTGGTGATTATAAAGAACCATGAGGAATTATTATTCTAATTTCATTTTATTTGAATGACAAATACCAGTTTCTTTTAAGAGCAACTAAGCAGGACTCTAAATACGTACAGACGATTATGTCCCTGCACATGCTCATGTGCTGTATTCCTCAATCTGGAGATGAGTCAAATATTTTTGGCAGACAGCAGGTGCTTCCATCAATCCCCTCTCCCTCATATTTTATTTGCAATGATCACATTTATGTCATTTGTTTAGATCTGTGATTGCCGTCATATGATATGAATAGATAGATCAATTTAAAATATTAGCAGGAAGAGTTGACATATGTTATCTGAGAAGTTAGTAACGTGTATTTGTAAACCATTGAGACTGAAGTGCCAGGTACCATCTGAGCCCATCACAACAACCTGTAACAATTAAGAGCTGGCATTTCATTGTTAAGATGTATGAGGTGTGACTACAACCAGATTATTTTTCACAATCCAAGAAATAAATTAGTTGCTTTAGTTTATTTGCACACATTGTAATGTCACAGGAAATGTGTGCTGATAAAAGTGTCAGATAAAGTTGAATGACCTCGGTTTTCAATCCAGCATTTATGACTAACCACATGATCTCATATAAATCTACACTATTTAGTTTTCTCTTGAAGCTCTCCACTCTACCTCCTCTTCATAGAAATCTTTGTAAGACATACAGGACCAGAAAAAATATATAATCTGACCTCTCATTCTATGAACTAGGAAATCAGGACACAAAGTGGGCAAGTAACATGTACAATGACCCTAATAAATTCATGGCAAAATCAGGGCTGCAAGCCTGTTTTTTGTTCTTTTTACTCTTAACCCAGAACCCTTTCTTACAGAAATTTTGCTTTATAACAAAAGAAATTTGAGCTACTTGGCTAAAATGGCTCAATGAGCTTATTGTTTTAGTCAAGCTTTTGGTCACAAGTTTTTTCTCCATTTGCTTCTGTGGCAAATGATGATTATATTATTATAATAATATTCATGACTATGATATTTAAAATATCTTATATATCTTATATATAAGAACTCATCTTTTGTCTGGACCTAACATAGCCATATTTACTAGATGTGAAGTTAAGAAAATTAGGTTATTTGGTTTCAAGCAGCAAAAGTCCAGCTCAGTATAAAGGGGAAGTTATTCAGATCCTAAGAGATATTTCAGTGAATTCCTTGGCAGAACAGAGGTCAGGGTTTCCATGAGCCTGCAACCAGGAACTGCCAAGTTGGGATTTGACATTTCTCTACTCACTCTTTCTGGAGGATCTCTCATCTTTGTTCTCTACTGTATTTCTATCATTCTCACTTTCCTTCCCAGTCAGATTTTCTTGGAGTAGATTTGGTCACTTCAGCCCTGATTTTACATTATCTGCCTTTTCACATATGCGGAAAGATCAGATTTTTGATGTCTCCATTCCAATTGCTAGGTTAGACCTCATGTTTAGCCTGAGCCAGGCTCTTTCCTCACTCCATGTCTAAATAACTGCGCCCAGATGAAATGGTAGTCCCATAATGTGAATCCTATGAGTCAAGGTACTTTCTGGAGAAAGAATTTGGTATAGTGGGCAATCATCCCAGAATTTATTTGCTGCAGTAAGAGAATGTTAAGTGAAGCTTTCTTGTTCTGAAATGTTAGACATTTCTCCAGCAGACATGTCAACATCTTAGCTTTGACTTGGCAGACGACACTTGCCATAAATGAGTTCTTACATTTTACATTTACCGTTGTCATTATGGGCTAAAAATCTGTTGGGCTTGTGTTTATGTAATAATGCTAACATTTCAGAACAGCCCTTCTGTATTGTCTTTATATTTGTAAGATAAGGAGAGGAATCTGGGGCTTCATCTGGTCACACTGGGTTGAATCTCTAGGAGCTCTCTGTGGGTGTATTGCCACACTGCTATGAAGAAATATCCAAGACTCAGTAATTTATAAGAAAAAGAGGTTTAATTGACTCACAGTTCCGCAGGGCTGGGAAGGACTCGGGAAACTTACAATCATGGTGGAAGGTGCCTCCTCACATGGCAGCAGGAGAGAGAAGTGCTGAGGAAAGGGGGAAAAGCCCCGTATAAAACCATCAGATCTTGTGAGAACTCACTCACTATCAAGAGAACAGCATAGGGTAACCGCCCAATGATTCCATTACCTCACCTCCCACTGGGTCCCTCCCACAACACTTGGGGATTATGGGAACTACAATTCAAGATGAGATTTGGGTGGGGACACAGCCAAACCATATCAATGGGCTAATACGTACTCTAATGACTGGCACATTAGGCAGTCTATAGCAATTGCTGTGATCATTCACATTTCTAAAGGTTTGATTCTGTCTTCAGGTAGTAAAACCCAAGCAGGTGATGAGTTTTGGCTGTATCAAAGTATACAGTTCAGTGGCTAAGAGCATCTGTGTGGAATCAGTAGAACTGGGCTTCTTTGGCTTCTCTACTTCCTAACTTCATGACCATGGGCAAGTTACTCAACTTCTGCAAGCCATAGGGAATGATAATGACAGTACTACATGAAGCAATGCCTATGAGGCATGAGGGGTAGGAGTGGTAATTGTGATTAGATTACTAATGTTTACATACCCAATTGAATGGAATTAAAACTTGAGCATTTGCAATCTTTTTTATGTAACAGAATCTGATGATCAAAACTACAGGGTGGAGGCTGTACATGCATTGGTGCACAAATTGCCGGAGAAAAACAGAGAGATGCTGGACATCTTAATAAAGCATCTGGTCAAGTAATTCTCTAACTTACATTGTTCATTTAACTTATTGTTCATTGTTAAGTTTGTTCATGTCTTTTTAAAGTGTGTGATGATGTTATAACATTGGTATTATAATTAGAGTCCATTGAATTTGCTTAAAAAATAGTATGGCAGTTTGTTTTTAAGATATTTCTATGTAAGTGTGTGTACCTGTATATGTTTATTTGCATATAATTATGCAAATAATTATATCCTTTGCAATTGTTAAACTAATGATGAAACAATTAGATGTGTCAACTTAAAAATGAAGGAGTATATAGTTTTTTTTCCTCCCAATTCTTTTAGGTGCATTATAAGCAATGAGTTTGAAGACCAGTGCTCTATACTACTAAAGTCAACAGGTTCCCCTAGGTCAAACTAACACTTAACTGTTAGATTCCCTCCATGTATTCATGATTTCACTTGATCTCTGGAGATTTTTCTAACTTTGCTGCTAGTTTATTCATATATTTACCATCTCTCTTTGTAGATAAATACTGTATTAGCCAGAGCTATCTGCAGAAACAAAAGCAATAGTGTGTGTGTACATATATTTAATATATATATAAAGAGATAGAGATTGGTTGATTTTAAGGAATTGGTTCACTTGATTATGGAAGCTAATAAGTCTGAAATCTGCAGGGCAGGCTGGCAGGGAAGAGTTGATGTTGAAGCTTGAATCCAAAGGCAATCTTGAGACAGAATTCCTTCTTACTCTGGGAACTCAGTTTTTTTTCTTTTAAGATCTTCAACTGATTGGATGAGGCCCACCTACATTTTGGAGGGTAATCTACTCTACTTAAAGACTACTCATTTAAATGATGATGTCATCTGAACAAAATACCTTAATAGAAACATCTAGGATAATCTTCAACCAAATATCTGGGTATCATAGCCTAGCCAAGTTGACATGTAAAATTAATCATTATAAATATTATATCTATCTACTATCTATCTTTCTATAATTTGAAAGCTACAGAGAGAGAGACAAACACATATTTAAGCCCGAAGTGAGTTTGCTATGGTGCTGGAAACAAATGTCTAAATCCAGTTTTAAACTTACTTAAGAATTTCCTGTAGCATTATTTAGTATTTAATAGGGATATTTCCCATTTTAATGAGTACCATGGTTTACAATAAAATGATTAATCCTTCATTGTTCATAATTAGTAATAACCCAATTTATGCTTATTTGAGCCATATACATTTGAAATATAACTTACTTTGCTCATCCTTCCCCAGCATTCCTGGCTTCTTTCTGAACTTACAAAAGGTCAAGCCCTGCTCACCGAATGTGCATTCAGATCACCACAAATTTACTTATAAAAACAGCAAACAGCTAATAACACTCTTGATCCCTGGCAACCTTTCATGGCTGAAAAAAAATTAGGACAGTCTACCTAGATTGGGATTCCAAAGACTAAAGACTGATTCCAAATTTCCATTAATTAACTCTGAGTAACAGTATAAATCATTGCTTTCTTCCTAAGAGTCCTTTTGTTTGCTATCTGTGGTGTTTTCTTTGATTCTCAACTAAATTTAAATATTTAAAAGTGTTATTAAATTACAAAAAATATATATTGTGGGTGGACTTATGTATTCATTAGGAGATATAACATTTTAGAAAATTATTATGGAATTTCTTTTGAATATAAAGGAAAAAGTGAAAGTTGATTTCTCCTAAACGAAAACCTTTTGATTTTACACATGGATATTTGCTAGTGGTATTAAATTTGCCAATCGATGTTTTTAATTCAATAATATTCAGGTGACCAATAATCCTTACTCAGTACAAATGTGAAACTAAACAAAACTCTTGGTTCTCTGTTTGGAAAGCCCACTTAGGAGCACATGACTTTGCTTCATGTATTTGGGTACTCTGTTATTAGCTATATATATATGTTTATAATTGTTATATATTCCTGTTAGACTGACCCTTTTCTTTTTTTTGAGACAGAGTCTCGCTCTGTCGCCAGGCTGGAGTGCAGTGGCGCGATCTGGGCCTACTGCAACCTCCATCTCCTGGGTTCAAGTGATTCTCCTGCCTCAGCCTCCTGAGTAGCTGGTACTAGAGGCATGTGACACCACGCCCAGCTAATTTTAGCTAAATTTTGCATTTTTAGTAGAGACGGGGTTTCACCACGTTGGCCAGGATGGTCTCGCTCTCTTGACCTCGTGATGCACCCGCCTCAACATCCCAAAGTACTGGGATTACAGGCATGAGCCACCACACCTGGCCAGATTGATCCTTTTGTCATTATATTTTATCTTTATCTCTAATAGCATTTCTTTGTTTTAAAATCTATTTTGTATGATATTGGTACAGTTCTTCTGGCTTTCATTTGGTTACTGTTTGCATGATACATCTTCTATCCTTTTACTTTCAACCTGTTTGTATTTCTGAGTCTAATGTATATCTACTGTAGAAAGCATATAGTTGGATCTTACTGTTTTTTAATTCACTTTGATAATCTCTGACTTGATTATATTGTTTAATCCATTCACATTTAATGTTATTATTGATGTGGTTGGACCTATATCTACCATTTTTCTTTTTGTTTTCTATATGTTTCATGTTGTCTTTGCTATTCAGTTCCAATTTTACTGCTTTCTTGTCCTAATAGATTTTCTAGGGCTTATCATATACATCTTATCAGAATGTACTTAACTTAATTCATGTGAGCATAGAAACATTATTTTTACATAATTCTGTTTCCTCTTTCTCCTTTTTGTGCTATCATTAATAAACATGTTATATCTATATATGTTATATCCCAACAATCCATTGTTATAATTATTTATGTAATTTAATGCTTCTTAATGAAGTTGAGGGAAAAGGAGTAAGTACATTTATAGAGTTTGATACATTTATTAACCTTCTTACTTACCATTTTTTAACCTTTTCATTTGTTCCTGTGAATTTGAGTTACCATCTGGTATTATTTTCTTACTCCAGTACAGCTTTGCTTTATGCTTTTCATTTGGGCTGTTACTGTCAAATATATCACATTTTTAAATGTTATAGGCCCAACAATATAATTATTAATACATACATATTATTAAAATTGCATTTTAAAATCAAGAAAAGGAAGGAGAAGAAATATATATTTCTACTCTTTTAATTACATAATTACCTACACTGGGTGTTTTTTTGTTTTTTTGTGTGTGTTTGTTTGTTTTTACATGTGCATTTGAATTACAGTCTAAGGTCACTTGCCTTCAGCCTGAAGAACATCTTTTAGTATTTATTGTGATGCAGATCTGCTAGCAATAAGTTCTCTCAATTTTTGTTTTCCTGAAAATGCCTTTATTTCACCTTCCTTTTTGCAGGTTAGTTTTGCTGGATAGAAGATTCTTAGTTGGCAGACTTTTTTTTTCTTTAAGCATTTTGAATATGCCATCCCTCTGCCTTCTAGCCTTTATTGTTTCTATTGAGAAATAAGCTTATTGGGGTTCCTTGTAGACCCCAGTAAGACTTTTTCTCTTGATGCTTTCAGAATTTTCTTTTTGTCTTTGGCTTCAGCACTTTTACTGTGATGTGTCTTGCTGTGGATATCTTTGCAATTATTCTACTTGGAGTTTGTTGAGCTTCTTGGATATATAGATTAATGTTTTAAATTAAATTTGGAAAATTTTCAGCCACTATATCTTTGAGTATTTTTTTCTACTTCTCTCTTTCATCTGCTACTGGTACTCCCATTATGCATTTATGAGTGTGCTTAATGTCACAGATTTTTTTCTGATGATCTATCTTTCTTTATTTTTTTCTTTCTCTCCATTCCTCAGATTGCATAGTCTCTATTGATACTTTTCATTTCAGCTATTGTGCTTTTCAACTTCAATTTACATTTGGTTCTTATTTTTAAAATAACCTCTCTCTCATTATTCACATTCTCTATTTGATGAAACATTGCCACCACACCTCTGTACTTTCCTTTATCTTTAGACATGGTTTTCTTGAGGACTTTGGATATATTTGTGACTTCTTTGAAGTCTTTTTCTGTTTAAATCTGATGTTTGGGTCTGCTCACAGGCAGTTTTTATTATCTACTTTTTGCCTGGTGTATGAGTCACACTTTGCTGTTTCTTTGCATTGTCATACTTTTTGGTTGAAGACATGGCATTTTAGCTACTGTTTTGTAGCAACGAATACTGATACTAGTACTGATTCTCTCTAGCTTTTATTGTTGTTTGCTTGTTTGTTTAGTGTCTTTTTTTTTTGTTGAGACAGAGTCTCACTCTGTCACCCAGGCTGGAGTGCAGTGGTACAATCTCGGCTCACTGCAACCTCTGCCTCTCGGGTTCAAGTGATTCTCCTGCCTCAGCCTCCCAGGTAGCTGGAATTACAGGCACTCACCACCACACCCGGCTAATTTTGTATTTTCGGTAGGGATGAAGTTTCACCATGTTGGTTGGGCTGGTCTTGAACTCCTGATCCTCAGGTGATCCACCCGCCTTGGCCTCCAAAAGTGGTGGGATTACAGGTTTGGGTCACCGTGCCCAGACTAATTCAGTATCTTTAGTGAACTATTTTAATGAAGTCTATTTCCCCCTCTGTGTGAAGCCTCTTCTATTATCTCTTCAGAGAATGCAGCCTGGGACATGACCACAGTCACCCAGGGATAACAATAGTTTCAGGAGAGTTCTGTTTATTTCCTTAGGTGATCTATAAATATGTCTGCTTCATTTGGTATCACATCCAGCTTGTTAGTTTTCACTAACTGCTAGTAGATTGCTCTGTTGTTTTTGACAACACCCTGGAGCATATCCAGTTAAATTCCAGCTCCTTGCCAGGTCACTTAAAAAAAAAACAAACAGTCTTTGAGATTTGTTATGATGCTAAAAAGGCTCTTTCTGTCTCTTTCCCTAGTTATTTCTTATGATTTAGCGAGAGAGTCAGAGTTTTCTGTTCTTATGGACTCTACCCCCTCTGGGTAAAATCTTTGACCCATTGCTCTTGGCACTGGCTGAGGGAGGTAGTCCTGAAACGAGGGAGATTTTGGCACCAATATTCTTGGCCTGCTGCACCTCAGGTAAAGCCATCCACCCTAGATGTCTGGCTAGTTGGAGGCAAAGAATTCTCTGGGTTTCAGAGGCTGAATTCCCAGTGAGTGCCTTTTGAGTTGCATTCGCTGGGAATTCAGCCTCTGCAACCCAGAGATAGAGGGCCTGAGATATGCTCACAGCCTGCCAACCCCATGAGATACTGCATCACTTGACTTGGGGCTGAGAAGAGAGGGAGCCCTGTCTTCTTGGCCACATTTGCCCAGAGTGAAGTTTTAGTCATATTGAGCTGAGGGTGGAAGAAAGAGGGAGCCAGTTGTACCTCAAAAGCCACAGACTCTCGGCTTTTCTTACTGATAATTAGTAGATTTGCTTGAACAAATATTTCTTTATTCTTTAAGTTTTTTTTATAGAGACTTTAACTGTTTTTGGTTATGGTTTTAAATAATAATTTTTATCCTTTATGATTTTTTCTCTGTTTATTGGATCCATGGGGCTCCTTATGTTCTACCATTTCCATAAGTAGAACTCTTAAGTATATAATGTTGGTTTCTTTATTTGTAAACTCCTAGATTTGAAACAATACAAGTTGACAGATCCTGATATACATTTCCTCTTTTAATAAAAGAAAGAGAGATGTTCCAGGAGACAGCAGTTGAGTATCAGCTCCCTACATGAATTGGGGAAATAAGTAGTAGAACCTGCTGAAATGGTGAGTGGTGGGAGTCTGTATCTATTGAGTAGCCCAGCAGAAAGAAAATTCAATAAAAAGAAAATCAGTCATTAAAATAATCCATCTTCTGTGCAATGTAGTCATTAACCCACCTTTCAAAACCAAGTTTTTGAGATTCCCAAGTTTACTCCTAATGAGCTTAATATTAACTATATTCCACTTTATTTACATTATGGGAACCATGACATTTTAGCAAGAGTGCCTAAAGCTAATTTAATTTCAGGGATAATATTATCTTGAGATCATATACAATTTATTATTTTATTTAGTTCTCACAACAACCTAACATGGGTTGTTATATATATAATTTACAGATAAGGAAACCGAAACCTAGAGATATTAAATAACATAAATGAGCTTACCCAACTTCCAAGAGATGGATCCAAGCTCTGAATCTAGATAGGCTTACTACATTTACATACTACTTTCCTGAGTAGATTTTCTAATACATATTAAGCAATTAATATATAGTATTTGATTATATTAAAAGGAAACTTGGAATGAAACTCTTCTTACTTGAAGTAAATGCTTTCTTAGCTAGTGCTCTCTACGGCATAAGGAAAACGTCAGTCAGCGTGGCAGCTTTCTCTTCCTGTTTTGTGACAGGAGTTGCATGGATAGTCTAAAATCCTGGATTTCCCATAAAATCTTACTTTTGGTTGTAGAATGCAGTTTGTGACGCATGGTCAGTCCGACATAAACATAATCTTGTGTTATACTAATAACCTGACTTGGAGTAAGATAGAAAAGTGAGTGGTTAAACTAAAAGATAAGTCAAACAAATGAGGTATCCTCTAAAGAATGTATCTAATTTCCAGAATAGATTAGTGAACTAGTCAAAGTCGTTCTTGAGAGTTGCTAGGATTACTTCACTCAGGTCAGTGATATCAGAGGTTTTTGATTTGATTGTCAAGCCAGCAATGATGCTACCACATCTCCTTGTCTCACTGTTTGCCTAGCACAGCACCCAATACTAGGGAGGTACTCAGGGAAGTTTTGGATGGATGGATGGATGGATGGATGGATGGAAAGAGGAAAGAGAAAGAAAAGAAACATGTTGGCCAATGATCTATCCCAGGAGCTCAAGGAACCCACTGACTTGCAGTCAGGAGACCTGAATTGAAACAGCCACCTCTGTCCTGAATTTGTTGTGACCTCAAAATACACGTTTCTTTAGGAGCCTCTGAGGTTTTTAAAATTTGTACGATAGGAATATCTGACTTACTGGGAAGACTAAATACAATAATATGTAGGAAAATTCCTGGCAATAGATTCTCAATAATATGTTTGGTGACTCTGAATATAATTGCCACCAGTCTATTCTTAACTGTTTGTTCCAAAAGAAATATAGTAGCATTGAAAATACCAAACAGCTGATCATCTTTCTAGGGTAATTGTACTTGATTTAGGAAATTAGGGGTTTTTTTCTTTAATAGATTTTGTTTTGCCTGTAATTATGTTTTACGTGAGTTAATGTTATCTGTTTACATCTTTTTAGGCCATACTCCAAATGCCAATTGGAAGTGGCTAAAAGTAGGACAATTTCCCTATAATGGCATATTTTACATTTTTTGCACCACAAATTTGATAGAAGAGACTATTTCATAATTTTGAAACATATAACTTAAGATATTTTTGTTGCTTTTTATTTGCAGAGTATCACTACACAGCCAACAAAATCTCATGACTGTCTCAAATCTTGGTGTCATATTTGGCCCAACTCTAATGAGAGCACAGGAAGAAACTGTGGCTGCTATGATGAATATTAAATTTCAGAATATTGTGGTAGAAATTCTGATAGAGCACTATGAAAAGGTAGGCGGAATTTTCATGTGGAAGTGTCAAGTTTTATATCTTGGTTTTATAAAGGAATTTTGCATTTGATCTGTGAGCTCATGAGTTTTGTATAAATTACTTCTTAATGGGGACTTCAGTTTTCTTTCCTTGTTGTTTTTAAGTGCTTCTCAAAATCCTTCAGTTAGGTGGTTTTCTTTCCTTCTACATAATAGACTTCAAAAGGTTTTCTTCTTTACATTGTATGGTAAGTTTATTGCTCCTGTGCAGAGAACATTTTAAAATCACTTTGTGGTTGGTTCTATTTTAACCTTCTCTTTGTATCCCTTTGAAATCAAACTCTTAATTATATAGAGGTAATGTTCTAACTAAACAAAAGAAAAAAATATAGGCAACAGTCTTGAAGTCTTCTCTATATCTAGTCCCTAAGAAGGATTTCTTGAAAAAAGTGAGATCTTAGAATAACTATGAAAATGGGAAATTTTGAAAGCTGAATTAGTTGGAGTATTAAGCAAATTGAACCATTTAAGGTCTAACAATTTGTAATCCTTTTATCTCTGATCTGGTCCTTGTGAGAGAATGATTAAGGCCTTCTCCTCCCCTGGGTCCCTTCCCAGCACCCACAGAAGCATGCCCTTAGTGTCTATCTAAGGGCACAAGCTCTCTCACAATGCAAGAGCACATGGCTGTGTCCTGTAGCTCTGCACATACCTTAACCTGCAGCTAGCCACACTCCTTGGCAGCTCAGAGCCAACAGCATGGCAGCATCTTCTCCTGAGAAGCAAGGAGCCATTCAGTGGGAGAAATGATATAGAGTGAGCCTCAGCTCTTCTCAGGTTATGTTTTTTCAGAGTATGAAGGTGGAAAGAGAGTATTACAATAAAAACCATCAATATGTCTTGTTCATATTTGGAAGGTTTCTTAAAGTTATTGAAAGATCTTCTAGATTTTACTTTTGGGAAATGGGAGAGAATAAAAAAGAAAACCCCGTGAAAGAATACTCCAGATAAATGGAAAAGTTACAATTGCTCTAGGATACTTATATTTTGCAGCTGATTAAGTAGCATATGGTTCAAAGCTTATTTTATAATGAAAGTGGCAATATCACCCTTTTATTGACCTTGGTCCATTTTTCTTATACGTAGATTTTTCATACTGCTCCAGACCCAAGCATTCCTCTTCCTCAGCCTCAGTCTCGATCTGGATCCCGAAGGACACGAGCAATCTGCCTCTCTACAGGGTCTAGGAAGCCCAGAGGGAGGTATACTCCATGCCTGGCCGAACCTGATAGTAAGTGCACCCGGCCTTAGGGAGATGCTTTCTTCATTCTTTGGTTCAGATGTATTTCACTGTATTGGTAATTAGGTAGAAATAGAAGATGTTCTCACTGATGCTCTTTCCCCAACACCTCCTCTTTTATCATTTGTATATTCTCTGTCAATAGTTGTACAGTTGCTTGGGTAAGCAAATTCATTATTGATACAAAAAGGAAAAAAAGAAAAAAGGGCTCAAGGCCCTTTTTTCTGCAACTGTGATTAAGTACATTGGGTGCTCCTTTGTAGCAGGTTCTGTCCTATTGTCAAAGTGGTAAAGAAGAAAGCAAGACAAAGTCTGACTGAAGCTGTCATTTTCTTCCTTCCTTTCACATTATGTTCTTAAAGCATTATCTCTTGGGTATCAGTGTCTGAAAGAGAAAAGATAAAAAGAAACAACACACATTATCATCAACTTACAATTCTGAGCCAAGCCCTAAGGTGATGTGGGTGGCATCTTGACACCATGGCACACATTAAACTGTGGCTGTTCTCATTTTATTTTATACCCCCCACCCCAATTTTTTGCTCACAGTCAATATTTAATAGAAAATAGTCAATTATATATTTTAAAATAACTAAAAGAATGTAATTGGATTGTTTGTAACTCAAAGGACAACTGCCTGAGGAGACGGATACTCCATTACCATGATGTGCTTATTTCAAGTTGCACACCTGTATCAAAATATCCTATGTTCTCCACAAATATGCATACCTATTATGTACCCAGAAAAATTTAAAAAAATAGTTTACTAATTTTTAATTTAGATATATGTGAATGCATTATTATGCTTTATCTGATTTTTCTTATAACTTGCTTTTAGGAACATTAGGAAATAAAACCAGCAAAATAGCCAGTTTCTTACATTTCTATATTCTTAGCAGGAAAGGAAAAAAGCCTTTGAAAATTGAGGTACTTGTAATTTACTACTGACATTTAATGGTGCCTTTGAATGAAAGAAGGCTGAGTACTTTGTAACTTGGAATCAATCACCTATGATCAGAAAAGTAAAAGAAAGCAGAAATATGTTTTTACTATACCCCCTTTCATTGATTCCTTGTAATATCATGAAGGAATCTTATTTCTCTTACTTCTGAATCCTGTTTCATAAACAAATTTTGTGGGAATTCAAGTCAACCCACTTATGCTTCAAGAAGTAAAGTTATTATCTAAAGGCAGGTAGTTCATAGGTACATACATAAACTTCCTAAAATAGCATTGAAAAATACGTTTGGCAAGTTCAAATGCATATTTTAAAGCCTTTCTCCAGTACTGAGGACAGTTCTCCGTACTAGGTAGGGGCCTACCACTTTAATGGGGTCAGGTGGCCGCAGAACACATGGTAAGTTGGAGAACAGAAGGGTTTTGGTGATGCTGTTATCAATAGATAGTTACAGTTGCTTTCATCTCTCTCCCTCCTACTCCTTAGGTGACTCCTATAGCAGCAGCCCAGACAGCACACCTATGGGGAGCATTGAGTCACTCTCTTCTCATTCCTCTGAACAAAATAGCACTACAAAGTCAGCTTCCTGCCAGCCCAGGGAGAAATCTGGAGGGATTCCTTGGATTGCAACCCCATCATCTTCCAATGGACAGAAAAGCCTTGGTCTGTGGACAACTAGTCCTGAATCAAGTTCCAGAGAAGATGCAACCAAGACAGATGCAGAATCAGACTGCCAGAGTGTTGCTTCAGTCACTAGCCCAGGAGACGTTTCCCCACCCATAGACCTAGTCAAGAAAGAGCCTTATGGGCTTTCAGGACTGAAAAGAGCTTCTGCTTCTTCTCTCAGATCCATCTCTGCAGCTGAAGGTAAGGCAGAGTGGAACTTGTGCAAGATGTCATTGTCTCAGTGTCACTTGTGCTGGATTATTCAGCATGGTTAAGCAGGGATAAAGTTAATGGTGGAGAAACTAATGATGCTTATCTACTTTTTTCCTGTGCTTGGATTTTACAACCTAGGCACTGTGACATTTTTCCTGAATCTTTCCATGTCTGTGAAGTGATGTCTTTGTAATTATTGTAGATTTTGATCTCCCCAAGTGATGGGTTGCTGTACTCAAAGAACATTCTGTACCTTCCCATTTGGGCTCAGAGAAAAATGCTTCCTTTTGTTATGCACATGTACGTGTTATTGCTATTATGTTGTCTAATAGCACCTTGCCTATTTTCTTGGGCTTTCTTTTTAGGAAACAAGAGCTACAGTGGATCTATTCAAAGCTTAACTTCTGTAGGTTCCAAGGAGACACCCAAAGCTTCACCAAACCCAGACCTGCCTCCGAAAATGTGCAGGAGATTAAGACTAGACACTGCCTCAAGCAATGGCTATCAGCGGCCTGGCTCAGTGTAAGTGAGCGTTTGTATATTTGCTGTGTCTCCCAGGGATACAGAGAGGAGTTGAGTGTTTCAGAAGAACTCTTGGGAATCCCACAAGTTGAATACATTGGGAATACTTTATCTGTAGAGTGGGTACAGTCCACTTCTGTAAGACTCTATTCTTTTCTATGAGTGATGTGGAAGTCTTCGGATATGGACAGAATCTCTCTCACAGGGCAGCACTTCAAGCACTTTCCTTTGAAGCAGAGCTATGACTTAATTTGAGGAAATGAAAACTGATGTATAATACAGTAGTTATAAGCTTTGGAACTAAAAGTGTTCCCATTAAAAGCTAAACATCCATCTCTCCGCTGAAGAGACTGCCACGCATTGACTATAAGCCAGGTCCCTGCTCTCCTCACTGTTTTAAAGCAGCTTCTTTCTCACTTCCATCCTACGCCCGCATACCTGAGTCCTCACTGATTTAAACAAGCTAGTAGAGAATGAGGAATATGCAAGGCAAAAGTGGGTACTTCTCATCAAAGGAAATGATGCAGAACTGTAAAGGCTGGTAGGAGAAGGGTACATAGACATGAGTAGAAAGTGGGTGAAGAAGAACAATGGAAACCTGGCTAAACAAGTAAGCAAAAAAGAGAGATAAAAAGTTTCTCTCCCTTTCATTTTGTTTTCCTGACATTTGCTGAGAATTTCCTAATGCTCTCTGAGCCATTACTGGATGTCTTTACATGAGTTATCTCTTTTAAGGTCTGCAGTGTCCTTTGGAAATGGGTAGTATAAACCACATTTTAGAGATGACGAGAACTGATGCTTTTCTACCGTTTCCAACCTAGGGTTCTCTGACTACAATTCTGTGCTCCTTCTGTTTTACCTTCTCCATTTTTAATATGATGGCATTCTTCCTGACATTTTAATTATTCATTAAAAGTCCAGTAAGACATTTTACTAAGCCTGTTTCTATAGGAACTGTGTCATAAATTCATTAGTTCATCCTTTTCTCTGACAGGAACCTTTTGGTTGCAGAGCATGTTCAATGTACCTTATCTCTTTTGGTTAGAAATCCAGTTACAGTGGTATAGGCAAATATATTTGTCAGTGTGTCTACTCCCCACTGTGTGTAGTTCTGCCCATTAAGGGAAAGAAATGTTAAGCCAATGTATTAGGGAAGATGAGAGAATATAAACTCCATTCTTGGTGGAGGAAAGAGAAGAGTTTCTCTTTTGTGATTGTACCCATAAAGTAGAAATTCAAATGATTAAAGTGTGTGTTCTATATTAGGTGTAAAATGATCTTTGAGATAATCAAATGGCTTGGCTCTGGGAGAAGAGTTTGTCAATTAAAGAAATAAGATAGATTTTTTAAAAATCTAGCTTAGAACATCAAGGAATTTTATAGAGTCTTCCAGTAAATATAGAAACTCTTTCAATTCTTTTTAGTCATACCTGATAGTCTTACCTGTTCAATTAGAACATATCCTCTCTGCCTTGCCCTCCATGATTTGAAACAAGATGTAAATCTACAGATTTGTTTATTGGCCATATTTTCAGAGTTTGCCCTTTTCACTTTACAGACATATGTTCACATATTAAAAAAATACATCAATAGTATTATAATTAGTGTTTTCTTAGCTAAAAGAATGAACAACAGTTCTTTTGTCATGTTGATTTGATTCTTTGCATCTTCACTCGTGGCTCCACAGGAGTCAATAGCCGTGCTGCTGGGAGCAGAGTAGAGAGAAAATGTTCCTTTTACTGCTCCCATGGTTTTCTGAGATAAAAAGGATGAGGATAGTAAGATCCCCAGAGGAAGTAGCTATTGGTTAATTACAGCCTGGTACTCTGTAAGCTGGAGGTTAGATCTAAAAATCTCATTGACATTAAAGGTTAAAACAATTAAAATTCCCTTCTAATTTTGGCAATGGTTCTCAACCATTTTTTGTCTTGTTTAACTGGCAATCATGAATTTCACTTTGAGCAGAACTGAATGTGATTGACTTCATGAAACTTGCATTTTAAATCATTTTTCAGAGTGGCAGCAAAAGCTCAACTGTTTGAAAATGTTGGTTCACCTAAACCAGTTTCTTCTGGGCGGTAAGTTCTCCAAACCCTTAAATGCATCTAAAAAAAAGTGGTGACATTGTTGCTTTGTATTGACATGACACTCTCTGTGACAGCTCCGCCTCTCCATTATGCAGATGGTCAAATTTAAGTCCACTGGCCCTTCACAGGAAGTCATGTCTGTAAACAGCATATATCATCTCACATTGTTATAGTGATGTCTCATTTGCTGAAATCTTCACAGTAGAAGGGCTCTAAACAAACACATTTCCTAGAAGATAAAAATTGCTATAATCCTTTATACATCTTTGATGACAGTCATTTTGGGACCACTTTTCAAAAGCATGTTCTTGATTTTTAAAAGTTATATAACTTTTTCTGGAGGAATCATCATGAATATCCATGGAAAAATATGGTTATCCTTAAGGATCTCAGAGATGTTGTAGAGTTAATTGCCCAAAGCGACTCTGTTTTTAGAGTACATAATTTCATTAGGGGTTCTCAGATTTTACATTCCATTCCATTATTAAAAGGATATGAGTTGTTACATCTTGCTTCTACTAATGTGCTTGCTTCTAAAGTTCCTACTTTACTCTTCTTGCTTTCAAATTTATTCTTGATCTACAGTGGGCTTCGGTTTTTAATTTGAATAATGGAATTTCATAAAGTCAGAGGCTTTTCATTATTTTTTTTTTTTACTATCAGCTGCTAGTACAGGTAGGAGACACTCAATGCCTATTGTTGAAAGAGCATATAAATGTGAGAACTTGAATAACAAACCTTGATTTTTCCTTTAGATGTACGAACACATTTTTGAGCATCCAATGTCTGGCTAATTGAGGCTGTGAAGGAAAGGAATCACAGATACTGTTGTATAGTTGTTGTATAGTTCCTCTAAAAGTTATTTAACCAAATAATTTTTATCAACCTGTAAAAGTATATGGACTTTTTCAGCAAACATTTATAAAGTACCTAGACAGTACTGGGCATGTGATAGTTATTAAGAATAACAATAACAATAACCTTCAAACTCTCTTTGGTTTTGTTCAAAGCCCAGTAAGGGCCCTCATGTATTAGGTTTTTTTAACTGCAGAGAGTAGAGCCACTTTGGTATCTTCCTAGAATAATGGTCAGTGCCTAGCATTTAAATAGCTGAGCCAAGAGCATGTGAACCTTACCTCTGTCAGCAGTGTCTTTATCTTCCTTTTGACCGAAGCATGGTGAAAACTAAGCCCCATGCATGTCACAGCAAACATCATTTCTCTGAGATTGTCTTGATTTTTAGGCTTTAGTGTAAGGGATTTAACCTTGCTACTTCTTCTGCCATGCTACGTAGTTGAATTGCTCACTAGATGGAGCCCTTTTATTAGGAAGCTCTAAAAAGTCAGCCTGTTAAGTAAAAACTCAGGTAATCATAATCAAAGAGGTAATCCCCGTAGAGCTTTAAGAAAACAAGCTATGGATGAAGTAAATCAGAAAGCTATCATATAATAAAAATACACTCAGATGTTCAACAGTCAAATCATACTTCTTTTTCTTCTTCTTTTTTTTTTTTTTTTTTTTTTTTTTTTTTGAGAAAGAGCCTCGCTCTGTCACCAGGCTGGAGTGCAGTGGTGCGATCTTGGCTCACTGCAGCCTCTGCCTCCCAGGTTCAAGTGATTCTCCTGCCTCAGCCTCCCGAGTAGCTGGGATTACAGGTGTGTGCCACCATGTGCAGCTAATTTTTGTAATTTTAGTAGAGACAGGGTTTCACCAGGTTGGCCAGGCTGGTCTTGAACTCCTGACCTCAGGTGATCCACCCGCCTCAGCCTCCCAAAGTGCTGGGATTACAGGCATGAGCCACTGCACCCAGCCAACTCATACTTCTTTAATATGTTTTTGCATTCTGAATACTCTAAATCAACTTTTAGTGGGGATCAGCATAAACTTAGAGCTCACTCAGCTCTACCTTCAGAGTTACAGTCTGTCAGTTCACAACACTTGTGATTTGTGTGACAACTTTTCACTGAGGCACAGGGGAACATGAATGAACTTTAGGTCAGACAGACCCTAGTTCAAATTTTTAGGTCACCACTTTCTAGTTCGTGTAACCTCAGAGTTACCAATGTTGGGGAATCTGTTTTCTTTATCCATACAATGAAGATCATAATTCTCAGCTTGCCACATTGTTGGGAATGTACACAATACTGTGTTTGAACATGACAGGTGCTCTGTAGATGGTTTCTACATTAATAACTATTATCATAATTATTGTTGAAACTGCTTGCCTAAGACACTCAAGCCTCTGATTAATATATTAGTGGTATTTAAACACTAACTCTTAACAGTTACCTGATATTCTTTTGTACTCTTAAATAAAACTGAATGACTCATAGAAGTTGAGGGAATTTCCCTGACCTTCTACAATGCCTGTCTCATTTTTGTTTTTTTCCTAAGGAGCTCAAGGTTACCCTTGAATTAGACCTTGAAAGAGATAGAACCAGTAGAGGCAGTAGGAAGACTAGCCATATTTTGGAAAGAGACCAGTTGGGAGATTTTAGTGGATGGCCTTGAGCCACGGAAAAGTAACCCCCCCAGCATTGCTGCAGGCACTGCAGGTCATTGAACACAGGGGTGATCTAATCTATGATGCACCAGAACAGATCATTTTCCAGCAGGTTGTGAAGGGGAGAGAACAGTCAACCATTTAGGATGGAACTGGTGAGATTTAAAAGGCCTTAATCAGGAGAGTAGCAAAGGGATGAAAAGCTATAAGGAGATTTTTATGAATAGGATCAGGATTGGGCAGCTGTTTTGATATTGGGAATCAGAGACAGGAAAAGAAGTTTCCAAGTCTCTGAGACAGTGTTGGAAAGAATGGTGGTTTAGCTTCTGATCTTAGCTTGTGCATATGTAGGAGGAAGGGAAAATTTTGGCCATAGGGTTTGAGGAGGCTGTGAGGGCCAATGAGAGGCAGTTAGAAAGGTGCAGCTGGAACCAGGAGACAGCATGGAGTTTGATGCCATTTAAGAAACTTCTACATAGCAATTACTCTGTATAGGTGAAGGTGAAGGTACCTAGCAAGGAGGCTTACTAAATGAAAAAGAACAAATGGCCAAGCATTGGTCTTTGGGGAATGGTTTTATTTAACGTTCAGACAGAGAAGAATGGACAGGATGAGAAGGCATGACCAACAGTGGTAGAAGCTGCAAAAAATGGTTTAGGAGATCAGGAGAGGACACTGGTTTTAACTCCTAAGACATCATTGGAGATCTGTAAGAAAGCAAGTTCACTGGAATGGGAGGGACCATGCTGCAAGACTTGTTAAAATGAAGATTCCAGGGTTTTGCCATAGACCTTATAAACCACAATGTCCAAGACTGAGGCCTCGGGAAGCTGCATTTTTGTCACCCTCCCCAAGTGATTCTTATGTACATGAAAGTTTGAGAACCTTTGGAATAGAGAAAAATGTCATAGTGCCCGGCACAGCCCTAAGCAGACATTGGTTATTTACAATTGTTTTCCTTAACCTATAAAATCCCTTTAAAAGCCAAATGTAGCTAGGCTGTGTCTTACCATTATAAAGGCATGTGGAAAATAGTATCCTTAAAACCTTCACCTGGGTCTCAGTTATACTCAGAGCAGAGATCCACTTTAAAGTAGTATAAACAGGCAAGCTATACAAATATGTTTTGAAGGCTGAATTGAGAATTAAGAGCATAAATTGAGAATTGAGTGTCTGGTTCATTGTAAACAATCAAATGTTTCTATTATCAAATTTTAAAAGACAAATATTTTGCTTAGAATTACAAAGGACAAAAAGCTCAACAAAGTTACCTTGCCCAGTGAGTTTGAGTTTTTAAAAGGCTATAAATCACTGGTTTAGAACACAGTTACATATGTAAGACACACATAAGATGCAGAAATCACCATAACACCCATAAGCAAAAAAATTTGTGATGTTTAAAATAATAATTTAATGATTTTCCTTTAGAAAATGTGAAAATTAATGAAGAAGTAAGTTAAAACCACTTATAATTTCATCACCTGAAGAAAACTGTTAAAATTTGGTGCACAGCCTTCTAATCTCATCCGTGGCAGTGGTTTCTCAAACTTCTTGATCTCACAACACCTTTATAAACTTAAAAGATCTTTAAGGATCCCCAAAGGGCTTCTGTTTTTATGGATTATATTTATTGATATTTACTGTATTGGAAATTCAAACATAACATTTTAAAATATGTATTTATTGAAAATAAGAATAAGCCTATTACATATTAGCACAAATAACATAATGTTAATGAAAAATGATATTTTCCTAAAGAGTTGAACTGTTTTACATTTTTTCAGATATCTTTAATACCCAACATAATACAAAATAAATGAATTGTCATATACATTCCATTAGCTTCAGAGCAATGATATCTTAGGCTTCTGCCTGCCCCTCTATCTCCCCTCCACAGGTTCCCTTGACCACCTTTTGAAAACTACTCCTCTGTGATAAACACACAGAAAAGGACACATGGGCAGGGATGCGGGGATGGTAGGGGAGTTCACTGTATTGTTGCTATCATAGTGCCCAACACACAATAGATGCTCAATAAAATTGTTGAATGAGTAAATAAAATGCACATTTTTAACCTAAAAAATACTTTGTTACTCACTTTTTCACTTCTTTTTCAATGGAATTGCAATATATATGTCTTTGACACAAGCAGCTTTAACTCTACAGGCTCAGGTGGAAGTTTTTAGCATTGAGGCATTCAGTATTACTTAGATATTCAAGCTGGAAACAGCCAGTGTTTGTTGGAAAAAAATCTTTGAAAAGAACATGTAATTAATTTTAAGAAATCTGCAACTAGGCTGGGCATGGTGGCACACTCCTGTAATCCCAGCACTTTGGGAGGCCAAGGCGAGTGGACCGCCTGAGCCCAGGAATTTGAAACCCTGTGTCTGCAAAAAATATAAAACATTAATTGGCACGGTGGTGTGCACCTAATAGTCCCAGCTACCTGGGAAGCTAAGATGGGAAGATCACCTGAGCTCCGGAAGTCGAGACTGCAGTGAGCCATGATTGCACTATTGCATTCCAGCCTGAGCAACCCAGTGAGACCCTGTCTAAAAAAAAAAAAAGCAAAAGAAAGAAAAAAAAATCTCCAATTAGTGCCAAAGGAACAAATGCAGTGCTTATTGGTAAACTGTCATGGGCAATTTAGGGTTCTTGCCAAGAACAAATTTGTAAACTTTTTGTCTTACGCATTAACATTGTTTCATTACATGAGTTCTTCAATAGCATTATCTATAGTTGCTGCCTAATACTTCATTAGATTGGTGTGCTCTAATTTATTTTTAAGTTCTCTACTGATGAATACTTAAGATTGTTGTGATTTTTAAAAATTTCCACTTTTATATATAGTATTGCTTTAGTATCTTTCTACCTCCGTGCACTCCTATTCCCTTCAGAAGTGAAACCGTCAATAGCATACAAAATGTGTGTATTTCTCATTGTTCAAAAGGCCTCCTGAAGACATTGTATCAATTTTGATGAATTTTTAAAATTTCTCTTATGTTTAAGATAAGCACTGGCAAATTTTGCACACTGACCCAATCAAACTTTTGTTAAGTTTCCTCATTAAATGCATTAGACGGCATTTAGAATGAGGAATGAGGCTGGTGGGCAGATTATTTTTCCAATGATAAGGGAAGAAATGGCTTTCAGAACTGTGCCATTACCTCACTCTCCCAAGCAGTAAGAGGCAGGATTTTCAAAATCTTTTTCAAAGAGAGATTAGAATCTTCTGAAGAGAGATACAATAGGTGACAGTGTTATTTTCACATCCTCTTCAATACACCAAGACAGTAAAAGAGGAAGCGTTAGCACCTGAGGAAACTTCACTGTTACAGAGTCTACATTAAATCATCAAAGCTCTCTGCAGAGTTAACACCTGCAGTTACAGATCTCGGCAGAAGAAAATTCCGTCTAGTCAGTGCACAGATAATTGAAAAGTCATGACAGGTAGTATTTTGTGCTGTGTGATTTTGACACATTTAACAATATGTATGTCTTTATTTATTTAGCGATATAATTATTCTGTATGCTTTTCCCCTCCCTCAACCAGTCCCATAAAATACTATAAATACAAGTAAGGAGAACATATATGTCTAAAATATTAATTACAAGATTTGGGGTACATTTTAAAGTGTAGTTTTGAAAATTAGGTCATTGTAAAGAATATTGTAATCACTTCTACAACTTCGGAGATTGTTTCCTTATCGATCTCTTTATAATTTGTCTTAATGGTTCAAAGAAATATGACTTATTGTTTACTGGAGGAAGCTGTTGCTATTAGAAAATGTGATTTTTTGGAAAAATATTTCCTTTTTTTTAGGAAAATGGTTCTGAAGTCCTCAGTAATATCCTGATCAAATCAAATGGTTATAGTTGGCTAGAAGATTTATAGGGAAAAAGTTTATATTCTATTTGAGACTACCATAGTCTGATTCTTAGAAGTCTTCAGAACCTGATAATGTTCTCACTTCCAACCTCTATGCAACCAACATACCCACGTGCATGTGTTCATGTGCACACACACAGTTCTTTAAAGTCCTGTCCTTCTCTGAGTGCCTCTACTTCCTCAGTTCTTCCTTAGACCATGTTTCACTGGGACGTTGTGCTGTGTGGGCTGAGGGTCATTCCCAAATCTGCCCCGCTAGCAAGCTTTCTGAAAGTACAGCCTGAGGCTCACCTCTGATGAAAAGACTGGAGGCAGGTCCAGAATTTTCCTCTCTACACCTTCCAATCTTCAGATAGTCTTTGGGAACCCCAGTTTAAATGGCTGGACCTCATTCTGGAAGTGTAGGGTTAAGATCCAGGGTTGAGCTCCAACAGGGAAATGAAATTATAATGTAATGCTGCTGCTTTGGGAGAGCTGTGGATGCAAATGCTGCTGACGCTGCTTTGCAGGTATAGTGCTGGGACCCCAAGGAGGATAGATAAGGTGCCCTGAATCTTTAAAAAGACTCATCATGTAGAAAATGAACCCAGAACATCTTTCCTTTTTCTCACTCATTCATTTAGCTAACATTTCCTGAGTTATACTACTAAGCATCAGACATCGTTCGTGGAGATTTTATTGTGTCTAGGGGAGAAGATAAAAATATCAGCAATAATAACAAAATACCAGATACTAACACCATGCAGACTTGAAGCAGGAAGATATGATAGTTCCCTGGGCAGCTATTTCAGAGAAGGCCTGACCTTCAGCAAAGTTCTTGAAATTTAAGATGAACCTGAAGTACATGGCCATGTGAAGATCAAGAGGAAAACATCTCAGGACATGGACATAGCTGGCCTGAGGTGGGAATGAATTTGGCATGTTTGAAGGAAAGAAAGAGGGCCATTGTGACTGGAGTAGAGTAGGAGAGCAGAGGCAGGGACACAAAGAGGCAGGGGAGACCACCCGGCACCTGACTGCATATAGTTTGTGGGCCAGAGTAGGAAGCCAGTTGAAGGGTTGTCAGGGAAGTAATGTGATCTGATGGGCATTTTAAAGCTGCCCTCTGGCTGCTCTATAGATAATGGATTGTAAGGGAATAGAGGTTCTAGGAAGCCAGGAAGCCATTTAGCCAACCAGGTTGGAAATGCTATTGTCTTGGACTCTGGTTGTGGAAGAGATGATAAGTACTTGGAGTTGGGATCAGTTGCAAGTCTTACCCAGGTTATTGAATGTTGCAGATTAAAGGAGACCTGCCTGGTGCCTTGATTAGCAGCCTCAGATTTTGCCTTTTTAGTGTTGGCTCAAATATTTTTGGATCATATCTCATATGTAACTCCTAAATTCTGACTTCACTTGAAAAAAAAAAAGAGTATCTGGTATGCTGAGCATGAATTTGCATATAGTGACAGAGGTTGGGAGCTGAGTGGTTGGCTTCTCTTGTTAAGGATGGGTGTACCCTGGTTTGCAAAGCCTCCACCTGTCCCCATCATCTTCTTGATGGTGAAGCTATAGTTGGTTGCCATTTATCATCAACTTATCCTATTATTTTTCCTATATCACGCCCAATCAACTTACTTAGCATATTCTTTAAGCCTTTCAATTTTTGGATCTCACCTCAGATAGTCTGAACATGAAAGTGGGGGAAAAAAAAGCTTTGGGGTACCTAGGAACCTTCGTTCCTACATAGCTGTAAAAACAGCCTATTTAGCAACTTATTAAACAGTTAAATAATAGCAGTCTCTAAAACCAACCTATATTGTTATAAGCCAGGGATTACCCTGGAGAGCATTGCCTAGAAACACAAGAAAGGTTTCTAGTGTGCTAGTAATCCTTGATTTCTTGATCTGGTAATATGATTGTGTTCAGTGCAAAAAGCACCGATGTACACTCATATATGCACTTTATGTACATTATGTTCCAATTACAAGTAAAAATTAATAGCATTCTTGAAGAAGAGTTTTAAATATAGATGTCCTTAGGTTGAGTGTTGAGGTTTTGACAAGTTGTCTTGCTCTTTCAGCCAAGCCAAAGCCATGTACTCCTGTAAAGCAGAGCACAGTCATGAGCTTTCCTTCCCACAAGGAGCAATATTTTCTAATGGTAAGTATGTCAATTCCCTCTGCCTAAGTTTGTCATCATGGGGAGGATGAAGGAATAGTATGGTGGTATGAGTCTAAAGTAGAAGCCAGAAGCCTCAGATTTTATCCCATGTCCTGCCTCTCATAACGGGCATGCATGAACACATCAAATCCCTCTGGGTGGCATGCATCTGTAGTCCCAGCTGCTTAGGAGGGTAAGCCCAGCCCAACCCACAAAATAAATAAATAAATAAATAAATAAATAAATAAATAAATAGGCCAGGCGCGGTGACTCATGCCTGTAATCCCAGCACTTTGGGAGGCCAAGGCGGGCGGATCATGAGGTCAAGAGATTGAGACCATCTTGGCCAACATGGTGAAACCCTGTCTCTACTAAAAATACAAAAATTACCCGGGCATGGTGGTGTGCACCTGTAGTCCTAGCTACTCTGGAGGCTGAGGCAGGAGAATGGCTTGAACCAGGGAGGCGGAGGTTGCAGTGAGCTGAGATGGCACCACTGCACTCCAGCCTGGCAACACAGCAAGACTCTGTCTATAAATAAATAAAACATTTTAAAATTCCCTCTGGATTCATTCCTCTCCTGCAGGCATTTGTGTGTATGTACCTGTTTGTACATGTGTGTGAGACAGAGAGATTGTTTTATTTGACTATGTGAATGCAAAGGACATTCCAACTTTAGAGGGCTGTGACATTGTTTTGTTTGGACGTTTGAGTTGAGTGTATAGTTGGACCCTCTACATTCCAGAATTTTTGCATGCACACTTTAACCAACCATGGATCAAAAAGGTTGGAAAATAAATAGATAAATAATAATACAAATTTTAAAAATATATAGTATAACAACTATTTACATAGTATTTACATTGTAAAAGGAATTACAAATAATCTAGAAATGATTTAAAGCATACAGGGGGATGTCCCTAGGGTATATGCAAATATTACATCATTTTATATCAGGGACATGAGCATGCACAGTTTCTGGTATCCACAAGGGGTCCTGGAACTAATCCCCCACAGATACTGAGGACTGACAATCCGATGTGGGTGTTTAACCCATCTGTTTATATAATTATTTGACACTAATGTTGACTGAGTGCTATTTATTTATTTATTTTGCCAGTGTACCCATCAGTGGAACCAGGATGGTTAAAGGCAACTTATGAAGGCAAAACAGGACTAGTTCCAGAAAATTATGTTGTCTTCCTCTAATACTATTTAGTGGATGGCAGTATCTTCATGGTATCCATGGTAACGAATAAATGCTATGATTTTATCTGACACAGATACACGGGGATCAGCCCACTAAGTGAAAACAGTCAATTTCTATCAAGTTCTTCACCAGCAGACTATGTAGCTCCTTATTAATGGAAAAAAAGATTTAAATTGTTGGCCATTCTTTTTTGGTTGGTTTCTTATTTTAAAATATCTTACTTGTGAAAAATGTGTTTTTGGATAATATGTAACTCTCCACAATGTCGCTTCCGTAGCAATTGTAGAGTTTCAAATACTGTGTTAAATACTGTATCCCAGAAATTTGGAAACCAGAAATCTGCTATATGGATTTTGAGATCTGTCCTTTACTGCCTGGCATTCTCTGAGGATCTCTGAAATTGTTACTTAAAAATGTAATTTAAATTGTTCATTTATTGTTTTTTTTTTCTTAGAAATATACTGCTTTTATATATGATTGTTTTGCTGGTCCTAAACATTTCAAGGATGTAAGTCTTTGTTTTAATATAACTTTATTTGTTTTCCAAGTAGATGATAATATTCAAAAGCAATAATGTATATGATATCTATAAAGGAAGCAAAATTAAGTCATACACTGATTCCACTGTAAACAATCTGTCCAGAATTCCAGACACCTTCAGCAAACTTTTTCTGTAAAGGCCTGATAGCAAATATTTTTGTGGTGGGTTGAATTTGGCTTATGGGTTATAGTTTGCTGACACCTAGTTTAGAGGGTGTGTAAAACTATCTTCATAACTTTGAGATTTTTATAAAATTTTACATGAAAATATACTGATAAATTATATGCACATATTTTCTACCAGTAGCATTATAGTGGCATCATAGAAGAATATTTACCAATGATGGGGAAACTGTAAAACTACAGTATCAAGGCATACAACTTAAATTCCACTTGGAAGATTGTAAAGTGTCAAAGTATTTTAATGATAATTTAATTTGGGCTTTTGAAATGTTCTTCTACAAATGAAAAAGATGTTTAAAAACGTTACAAGGGAAGCTATGCCTTCTGAAGTCTATCCTTAGTTGAAACAGAAAATAAACACAAAGGTACAAGATCCTTAAATTATTTTGAACCACAGAGGTTGAAATTGTTTTGTGATCTTCAGCAGAAATAAAATCTGTACATGATTTTCTTTTATGCCTTTTAGTTTACAGTCTTTATTAGCAATTTCAGTGAATTTGTAGAGCATAGTAATAGGTATTTACTGTCCACTTATATATATCAGCATCTGGTCATGCACGAACCATTAATTCTATATTTCTATTTCAATAATTCTAATATATTATTTCTATAAATGTAATATCTGTATGTGGCAAAGAGCCTTTCTTCTCAAGATCCTGAAAAGCTGGTTACCTGCCCTTTGAGTGCCACAGTCCTGAACTGCTTGTTCTTGACATCTTGCATATTACTTCAGAGTTCCCCACTGTGCAGACTCTCAGGTATTAACTGTAAAAAACTCTTTACATGCCATTATTATCTGTAATCTCTATCTCTTCTACTTTAAATTAATGTTTCTAGAATTAATAGGTTAAATACACATACACACACACAACTATGCCTCAGAAAAGTTAGGCTTTTACAAATAAAAAGAATAAGATTAGAATTAACAAGTAGAGAGAATAACGGTAGGCAGAGTCAGAATCAGGAATAAATATCAGTGAATCAAAAGAATGAAAAATATTATGTAATAAAAATTAGCAATGTAATGTAAACGTTTGATAAAAGAGTATCTTTTTCTTTTATCTCTTACTGTTGACCTCTGTGCACTGTAATAAGGTGTGTTGCTGGATCTTCTTGGTCGAGGTCCTTGGTGACCTTAGTAGTAATAACAGCATTGCTGACACCCTAATTGCCCTCTGCTGGAACAGAAGGTAGTTTTCCAGTGTACCAGTCCCTTAGTCTATACAGCACCCTTGGTTTAAGCACACTTGCCATCATCTGGTATCCTGCTAGACTAGAATCTCTTAAAAGCAAATTGGTTTTCTTTCAAAGACCAACTTGACTCCAAAGAGAGATTCAGAATCCTACTTCTCCTGCTGCTGCATAAAGAATCTCAACCTTCATTTTATTTGAACACGGACCAAAGTGTTCCTGCTTCTGAGTTGTCTGTAAGCTAATTCTGCAGATGTTCCATTCAGATTTAAAGCTTTTTTACTGCATAGGATGTGGATAGGAAGCCTAACTATTGTATCTGATGGCAAGGCATATGTTGCAGCCACAGTACTGGCTATGGTCCCTTTGCTGAAACAAGCTACAGAAGCACTGATTCAAGTTGTGCTTGTGCTTGAACTTTTAATCTTCTAGATTTGTGAGGATGGCTCTTTTTCCTTCATAATGGATTACAATGTAAGCAAGTCATGGCCATATACTGGAGACGGGCTAAAGCTGCTTTTCCCTTAAAGTAAGTTTCCTACAGATAAGGTATTTATGAGCACTGAGAAAGTCAGGACATGTACTCTAAATCACACAGAATGTTAATTCCACAGGAAGGCAATGCCAGACATTGAAAGAGGATCACATTCAACTTTTAATAGTAGTTCAATAACAAAACCTTAGCTTTTCAGGAACAATGTGAAGATACATTAGAATTGCCACATCCATATCTTCAAAACACGCAACCTCTGCACCCTAATAACTGCTTACGGTATAATCAGTATGATGATGAGATTGAGGGGGTCTAAATTTAAGTTCCTTATCTCCTGAGTTATGTGAAAATATCCCTCAGTACAAAACATTTGTGTGTTTCACAGATGACTCTCTTGTTTTGCCGTAATGCTACCAAGTTTATGGAAACTAGTCAACTGAAGGATTTTTCTGTTGTGTTATGTGTAAATGTCTGAACAGTAAAATCATCTGTGTATTCCTGTAACATTCACGAAGTATGAGGAAGTGGGTTTCTCCTTGTTTGATGTGAGTGGTTTTGCTTGTTGCATGGGTTCCCTGTGCTTTGTAACTTGCATGAACACAACCAGGTTTCTCAACAATGATTTGTCTGCTGACTCTTTTCAGAGATAGTGAAGGAAAAAAAATGTATTAAAACCCCAAATTATCTAGGTTTCCAAGTAGGAAAAATAAAGATACATATGACTTTTATTATTATTCGATGATAATTAGCTTTATATAATGTGGCATCCTTCATAAAAATTCACTATGTTGTGAGGCAAACAGATTTCTCACTATCATCCAGTGTACCCTGCTCACCTTCTCACTCCTAGCACCGTTCTTCTGGTCTGTGTTGAAAAGGGTATCATTCATGTGGTTTCAGTTTAGAAGAGTCCCTCAGAGCTTTGCCTCAAGCAATTTCAAATTGTAGTGATACCTTAAATCATGTATTCAGGATGCCTTCTTTAGCATTTAGAACCCCAACTAGACTTATACTTTGACTAAAGTCAGAGGCAGACCAATTTAGGGAACAGATTTTGTTCTTTGCTTTTATGATACATTTGTAACTCACAGCTGTTAGCATGACCTCACATCACTGCGTAGGACCCGGAAATCACATCTCCTGGTCAGGTCACGAAAAAGAACACAGGCTTGACTATTGTCCAGAAGTTACTTTCCCCTTGACTAAAGGTTTCCCCTTAGGGTACACATTGCTATTTAACTTTGCCTCCTACCCTTTTTTGTTACCTTCCAAAATCAAGACACTTTTAAGAAACAAAGATAGTTTTCTGAACATTCTGTGTCCTGCCTGTCTCCTGTTGATTCGCAGATGTAATATCGAGTATTCATCAACTGGTCTCAATTTCCTGAACACATTCACTGTATCCCTCATTGTCACCGTTATCCCCCTGCTTCAAAATGTGCCAGTTCCACTTGGTAATAACGTTGGGAAAATGCAGGTTTATGAATGATGTGGACTTTTAGAGGATCAAATCAATAAATTGGATTTTTTATTTTTTGAGGGCAGCTGCCCTCACTGTTTTAAATAAAGAATCTTACATAAGAATGTTGACAACATTCACAGTAAGCCATTGGCAGAAAATTGATCTGCATGTCCTAGACCAATGATTACAAGGTGTCTGTGGTTTAGGGGGCCCAGCCCATCATTCCTTTTCCCCTTGGCACTCATGAGAGAGATGCCAAGTTCAGTGTGGATTTTTCTTGGTGCTCTATGGAGAAATGGAGTCTGTGTGCTTACTGAAGAGTCCCAAAAACCAGAGACCATTTTCATTTACTGCCATCATAAATATTCTCCACCATTCAAGATGCCTGTGTACACGGCTATTTGGGAAACTTAAGTGTTGGAGGAGGCAGGGGCTGAAGGTGTCAAAACCTCCTCAGTAGGATAACCCCTTTCTCCCCTTTGGACCATCTGCCATCTTTCATGAGTGTTTCCCATGGTGTTTTTGCATCCAGAGTTGACAACAACTCAATTTTGCCTTGAATTTACTCAGTCTTATAAATTAAAAATGTGCATTTTATATAAAGATGCATTTTATATAAAAATGCACACCTTTAATCTCTATATGGCAGCATATACATATATATATATAAAATGCACACTTTTAATCTCTATATGGCAGCATTTTTGAGGCTTTATATCTGCCCGTGTACCCTCAACTGCCTCCTTTTTGCAGAGAACGATCCCCACAGGAACTGGTCTAAGAACACTGTCTGCACATGATTGATGCTTAAAATCCAATATACCACCACATATCAAAGGTTGGGATTTTCAGAGTCCTTCTTGATTTCTGAGCTGAAACCTTAACAAATAGGGAATTTGGCAGGGAAGACACCTGGGTTTTTAATTCAGAACCCTATTTATATACTGTTAAAATTTGAGGTACTGTAGTTTATATAAAAGTCGGATGTTAAGATATTATATTTCAGTACTAGGAGCTTCTTTGCAGTCATTAACATGACAAATTAAGTAATAAATATAAAAGTGATTGTCCATAAATTATCATTGAATTTTTTGTTTATTTTGTAGTGTTCTGTATTTATCTGCACTTTGTGTATATATACACACATACATATGCCAACATGTAAATAACCTCATGTTTATTCCTAATCTAAATTGCCACAATATTTTTAATGTATGGTTACACTGTGTTTTAAATTACTTTAAAAATAAACTTTGTAAGCAGATTTTAATTTAGTCTTTGTACTTGAAGACCCACTGTGTTGGAGGGCAATTGTCTTGGCTTCATGTAGAGAAAAAACAAAGTTTCTGGTACTGTGAGTGATCACTTTGGTATGGCTAAATCATAGCAGAATTTGGTGACCTTCTCCTCACAAATTGGTATTCTGCAAGCTTTGGAAAATGTTAATGTTGATAACCTATTAATAATGCAGGTATCCACCGAGGGGAGAGGGAAATGGGCCATATGCAAAATACTAAATATAACAAGCATACAGGCTTACCTGAAAATATATATGTTTATAAAAGTTTCCAAGTGTACTATGGAAGAAATATCAGCGTACAAATACCTCCTGTCCATTTTTATTAGTCTTATGAACCTCTTGGTCATGACTTGACTTCTAGGTAAAACTTTGCTTCGCTGCATCAAAAAAAAAGATAATCGTGTATTTCTTTTGCATTGCTCCATAGATTATTAGAGTGCAGCAAATCACCTTGCCAAAGCTAAGCCTCACAGGTTGACCATTGGACAACCTGGCTTGCTCACATAGGTTGTAGTTTTCATCGATATCAGAGGAAAAGAGATAAATTCATGACACAACACCTGTTCAGATATAAGGATTAATGTTAACTCCAGTATAGTTAAGCAGGAAAGGACTATTAGGTTAGATATTACAGATTATTCTAGATGAGCTACTGTTTAAGAATGTTGGTTAAGACTGTTGGCCTGGAATCCCCTATAACTGATATTTTAGAATTAAAAATGAATTAACTTCCAGTGGCCAAAGCCGGAATGATTTGAGCAACAAAATAATGCAGTATTGAATGATTGGCTTATAAAACAAAGTATAAAATGAATATCCATGAATCCACATGGATATCAATGACAATAAATTTCACTTGTGTAAAAAAATGAGGGAGAAGAGACAAATCTTTACAAAAATATTCCAAATCATAATTGGAGTTATAGTTACCCTTCCCTCTAGCAGGTAGAATTTAATCCTCTCCTGCTTAAAGGTGAGCTAGACTTAGTAACTCATTTCCAAAATTTAGAGTATAGAAAACCGTCATAACTTTATAGAAAAGAAACCTAGTAGCCACTGTCTTAACCAAGTGGTAAAACTTAATATCAGTGATATCATGTGGTTGACTTACACCCCATAATATGTGATGTGAAGAGCAATTCACCTCTGTGGTATTCTTTCCCCAAACCCATAATTCCAGTGTAACCATTAGAAAAACATCAGACAAGCCCAGACTGAGGACATTCTACAGAAAAGATCTCAGCCCAGTACTCCTCAAGACTGTTGAGCTCATGAAAAATAGGTAAATACTGAGCAAATGTCACAGATCAGAGGAGACTTAGGAGACAGGGCAACTAAATGTAATGTGGAACCCTGGACTGGATCCTGGAACAGAAAGGAGAAAATAATAGCGGGCGTGGTGCCTCGCGCCTGTAATCCCAGCACTTTGGGAGGCCGAGGCGGGTGGATCACCTGAGGTCAGGAGTTCAAGACCAGCCTGGCCAACATGGTGAAACCCCGTCTCTACTAAAAATACAAAATTAGCCGGGCGTGGTGGTGCATGCCTGTAACCCAGTTACTCAGGAGGCTGAGGCAGGAGAATCTCTTGAACCATGGAGGCAGAGGTTGCAGTGAGCCGAGATTGTGCCATTGCACTCCAGCCTGGGCAAAAACGAGTGAAATTCCATCTCAAAATAAATAAATGAATAAATAAATAAATAAATAAATAAATAAAAGATAAGCTGGTGGTGTCCAAATAAGGTCTAAACTTTAGTTAATAGTTTAAAAAACAAGGTAACAAAAACTACTCAAAAAATAGTACATGAGCTGGGGATACTTATATCATTTTGGGAATTTAAGTGACTTTTTCAAGAATTAAACATTTTCACTTGTTCCCCATTAAATTTTGATCTGTGTGTGCAAGATACATCTCCTATTCATCAGTCAATCTCAGGCTTTAGAACAGAGTTGGGCATACATGAATACAGTAGAGTAAGCCCCTTTCATTAAATGAACAAATTCATTAGCAAAGGAACAAACATTGTAAACCCTTTAATAATTTAAAGAATACGGTTGTGGGCTTGTGTTTTTATGTCTGTCAATTCTCCCAGGAACAGTGAAATCATTCTTCAACATCCATGAATATATGAATCTACTCTGGAGCCATTTATATGTTAATGGTGTAAACAAACCTTTACACACATGAACAGGTCTTAAGGGCAGAGGTTAAACAGATTTTCTTCTGTCATTACCAGACCTAGCAACACTTGATTGAGCTGTATAATTTGGGGGTGATGTTGAAGAATTCAATTTTCTAAACCATTAAAAATATTCCAAATTTGGAAAATTAAGCTATATTAAACTTGCAGTTGAAGTTTTTGAGCCAAATAAGTTGTGTTGTTAACTTTGAAATTGTGTATAGCCCAAAACTGAGAAGACAAAATTCTTTTCAAGTTTCCAACATGACAGTTCTTGCTATTAGGGGAAAAAGGGGGGGAGCTATAGATAAGAACATGAGTTATAGATAAGAACATTAGAAAGTTTTTCGAATAAGATACCCTGGGGAATGCAAATCCCCAAAATACTGGTTGACATGCTTGCAAATGCTGTTTCTGGGTATTTGGGGCAAATGAGCCAAGCATAGCATTTAGCTAGACTCCATTTGTTGACAGAAATAAGTTATCTGGAATATTCTACCTTTCCAAATGCCAGGAGCCAGTCTGCTGAAAAGCATTCTCTGGATCAGCCTGTGCTAGAGGGAGGAAAACAAAAATACGTATTTCTAACCCTCATAGATGTTTATATTCATCACATCACCTATTTACAGACCTTTTTTTTTTTTTTTTCAAAGAATGGGTGCAATTACCCAATTCAAATAGCTTTCAAAAGTATTTTTGGAGCAACTGGAACAGAATCATTTTCTTCGAATAAATCTTACTTGGAACCAGTTAAAAATATGAGTCAAGCTGCTAGCCTCAGTGCCTACATGTGTGCTGAAGAATGGCCTGCACTTCACCCATGCAGGTCCACAGCTGCTTTTTTTTTCTTTTTCTTTTTTTTTTTTTTTTCTGAGACAGTCTCGCTCTGTCACCCAGGCTGGAGTGCAGTGGCACAGTCTCGGCTCACTACAACCTCCCCCTCCTGGCTTCAAGCGATTCTCATGCCTCAGCACCCCCTTACAGGTGTGCACCACCACACCCAGCTAATTTTTGTATTTTTAGTAGAGATGGGGTTTCATCATGTTGGCCAGGCTGGTCTTGAATTCCTGACCTTAAGTGATCCGCCCACCTCAGCCTCCCAAAGTGCTGGGATTACAGGCGTGAGCCACCGTGCCCGGCCAGGTCCACAGCTTCTGGCATCTCCATGGAACGCTTAGAGCTTTTCAGAGCAAGGTTACCAAATAATTCAGTCCAAGCCTCTCATTGTGCTAATTAGGAAGCTGAAGACCACATTAACATAGTTTCAGCAGAATGGTGAGCTCTTATCTCCTCTGTAATCTGCTACCAATTTGTGGATGTGTGGGGAGGGCAGCTTCTCATAGGGTTTGATCTTTGAAAAGTTTATCTGGAAAGGATATCCTTCGAGAAAGGATAACTTTCCTGGAGGGTACACACAGAACAGGAAGGCAAAAGGTTAAGTAAGACCCAGCTCACCTTGGCTGTTATAATGAAGAACTTTTTTGCGAGGAGGAGATATATAAAAATTTCAGAAAACAGGTATGAAAGGTCTAGCCCGGTGCCTTGCAACTAGTAGGTGTTACTGGATAACAATTATTTTTAAAGACTTAGGGGTTTGAGTGTGCAGCTTTCTGATGCAAATGCTAACAGAACAAGTGAAATTTTTAAGCTTCGTTGAAAGAAATTAAATAATGGCTCCAGTGTATATGATACATAGCCATTAATCAAGTGTTTCCCATGCACTGTGTCACAGCAAACTCCAGTCCTCCCAACTACCAGATACCGTCACTGGATGTCTCCTCTGCTCTTTTTATTTTTCCAGGAAAGAAAACTAAGGCTCTGACAGGTGAATTTATCTGGCTTATTCATTATCATATCATTGGTATATGGTAGAGGTTAGACTCAAACCCAGATATTCTGGCTTGAAACCCAGTACTCTTTTCATTGAACCACCTCTTTACTACACCAAGTGGAGTATGGTAAGCTTTGGCTACCAGACTTGAAAGAGGTATTTGGCAAACTCGACCTTCTCCAGAAGAAAGATGAAGATGGTGAGCGCCTTATCGTGTGAATAAGTGTTAGACCTGAGCGTCATTACTCAACGAGTGACCTTTCGACCTCTTAAAAGCTGTTTAGTTGCAGAATCTCAGAACTTCTGAATCAGAATCTGCATGTTAACAAGCTCCCCAGATGATATCTATAAACGATGAGGTTTAAGAAGCACAGGTTTAGCAGAACTATGAACGAGTTCTTTGGGGCTACCTGAGGGCAATTTTGAGATGTTTGAGGGCAAGATATGTCCAACTACTCCAAAAGCCAAAGATCACTGGGAGAAGTCACAACAATTGAGATTTAGGTTCAAAAACATAATTATATTGCCAAGTCTTCCACAAACGGAACTCAGGAAACAGCTTTCAATCACAGGCAGTGTTTGAGTGGGTCTAGATGACCGCTTGTCAAAATTTCACAGAGTAGAAAAATTCAGTAGGCATCTGAACGCATGAAAATTATTGTGCAGGACCTATTCAAGTCATTGGAGATCCTGAGAAACTTAGATATATTTCCTCTTTTCAAGAGATCCATGGTTTATTGGGGTAACGTACAGATCAATAAAATATAATACTATAAAATGCTAAAAAGATTAAGCATTGGGTGTTTAAGAGCCTGAGATAGGGCACTATTCTGAACCTGGGAAATAGCAGAAATGATGGAAAAGATAAGAGGATACAAAGAAAGAAGTGTGGATGATTTTACCTGGGTGGATGGTGTTATCAGCCAACCAAATTTTGGCAGAAGTGAAAGGCCAAAAGGAGTAAGACCCCAAAGCCAAAAGGAGCAATCCCACCCCAAGACAGGTGGGATTCCACATTACACAAGGGAAGAGGCTACTAGAGGGGTTGGGGAGAGGGAGGCGATAGAGTGGGTGAAGGAAGAGTTGGGATGAGCTGCATTTACTCTTTCAACCAACATAGTGCCAAACACTGTTCTGGTTGTTAATAACTTAAAAGAATTAGACATGGTTTTTCTTCCTGAAAAGTCCATAGCTCAATGAGGGAGACAGATATGTAAGTTAAAGACCACAGTACATGTATTTTTGTACCTATTAACCTCTTTTAGGATGACTACAGTTAACAATAACCTATTTTATTTTTCAAATAGCTAGAAGAGAATCATCCCAGCTAGAAGAGACTCTTCCCAGCATAAAAAATATTAATAAATGTTTCCCCTGATTTGATCATTACACATTATATGAATATGTCAAAATATCACATGTACCCTGAAAATATGTACATCTATGTATCAGTAATTTTTTTTAAACTCACAGTACAAATGAGGTAAGTATGATAGAGGCACAAAGTATAAAAGGGGCACACAGTAACCCAAGTTTAGAGAGGAAAGAAAGAGAGGATTAGAGAAGGCTTCACACACAAAAGGAACCATCCTAACTAGACCCTGAAGGACAGAACACCAACAGAAAACGAAGGCAGCAAAGGCCCAGAGACTTCAACAGAGTTTCTGATGGATTAAATTAATTCTGAGTGGCCAGGGGTTTGGCTGCTTGCTCAAGCATGTTGGCCTGTGAGTGTGGCAGGTAGGATGAGGTAAAAATGAGCACACTGGTAGCATGAGGGCCAGTCTGAGAAGGCGGGGAGAGTTTAGAGGGGAGAATGATGCCATCAGATTTACCTTTAAGAACACTGGATGGGGGATGGGTGTGAGGGTGAGTGTGTTTTGGGCACTGTAGGAAGGCTGAGGAGGCAATGTTGCACTGACCCAAGAAATGAACAAAGCCAGTACAAGAAAATGACTCATTTCAAAGGTCAAGGTGACATGACATGGCCACTGTTCTGAATGGTTAATTTAGGGGATTCAAATGTGGCTCAGATGTCTATAAGTGTGCTAAGGAAGGATCAGTAATGCATGCAGTGAAGAAGTTATCACAGCTGAGAAAGGCAGCTGAAGAAAAGGAAGGGGGCACAGTGAGTGGTTAGAATTAGTAAGTTTGGTGATGTGGGCTGACCTGGCCAGAGCTATTCCTCTTTTTAGTAGCTCTGGAGAGCACAGGCAGCAATGCTTAGAGATTAATTGCTTAATTCCTTTCATAAAATCAGGGGTTTTAACTTGGGTTCCAAAGACGGACTTTAGGGAGGTCTGTGAATTCCCTGCATTAAATACTAGGTGCTTTGAGTCTCTATATGCATATTTCTTTCCAGAGAAGGTTCCACAGTTTTGATCAGTTCTCAAAAAGCAACTCCACGTTTGACCCACCTGCTCGCCACACTAAGAAGTACTAAATGGCTGCTGCATACAGAGTGGCTAGAGGCTGTGGCCGGAATGTCTTTCAGAAGCAAGTATCCACTCTGTGGAAAGTGGGAGTGGAGTTTAACTTGGGGACAACTTAATCCTTCCAATATCTGGCTGAGAAAGCAATGAGGCTCGGCGGACTCAGCTTAGAAGTTCAGGCTAGCCTACAGATGGTGCCTATTCTTGTGATGAGGGAGTACCCAATGAGACCACAATACTTATCATGTGGAAATTTGTGCTGGGAGAGCCCGTGGGATTGCAGAGTATTTATACCCTACTTCTCAGACCACTCTCTGGGTCGGGGTTGTGGCCTAGAGGCCGAGCAGATTGTTTTTCTTCTGCTTTGTGAACCCAAGAAATCCATCTGCCAGAAAGGATTTTTTCTGGCTATTGCACATCAAGAGGGCCCCATCATCCTCTCCTCCATCCTGGGCCTTTCAAGGACTTCAGGGGCAGGCCTGTCTTCGCTCTAGCCAAGGAATGTTGGGTATTGCACGACACAAAGCTATGGGATTGTAGAGTAAGTTAAGCTGCCAAGCTTTGCCCAGCCTTTCCTGCTACTCGAGGTAAGTCTTACCTGCTGCAGACCCCCCTCCTGGGTAGGTTTCTAAAGTGCCTCATTTAAGGATGCAAGCTCTAGAATTAGAGGCTCTGGGTTCATATCCCAGCTCTGCCACTTACTAGCCATGTGACCTTGGGCAAGTTACTTAACCTCTGTGCCTAATTCCCCTTGTGTAAATTGAATATAAACATGGTACCTTCCTCAGAAGGTTATTACGGGAATTCCATGAGATGGTATTTGCCAAGTGTATTAGTTTTCTATTACTGCTGTAAAAAATCACCACAAACAGTAGCTGCAAACAACACAGGTTTGGTATCTTACAGTTGCGGAGTCCAGAAGCTTGAAATTAGTTTCATGGGACTAAAATCAAGATGCTTATTTCTTTTTGCATTTTACAGACCCCTCGCCTAAAGTCCATCCTCAGAACCCAGGTAAAAAACCCTTGATTCTATGGGAGGAATTAAGCAATGAATCTCTAAGCATCGCTGCTAGTGCTCTGCAGAGCTACCAGAAAGAGGAATGGCTCAGGCCGGGTCAGTCCACATCACCAAGTTTACCAACCGATTCCAGCCACTCACTTACACCACTTACTCTCAGCTGCTGCTTTCAGCTTCGATACTTCCCCAGTGCCTGCGTTGCTGATCTTTCCTCAGTACCTCACAGATATCTGAGGGCTGTATTCTTTTCAAGATTCTGGAAGAGTATCTGTTTCTTTGCCTTTTTCAGCTTCTAGAGGCTGCCCATGTTCTGTGACGACCGCCGCTTCCTCCATCGCCAAGCCAGCAGCATAGCATCTTCAGACCTCCGTCTGATCATGACCCCTGCCTCTGTCACTTTATCTGCTTCTCTCCATCTATTCCTTTCTTTCGCATTTTACTATAAGTAGCCAAAAGAAATGAGGGTGCACTTTGAACACTTTGCTAGGAAATCTCAGACAAATATTCAAGCTCATTGCTTACAAGTTCTGCTGTCCAATTAACGGCGTGACACAATTCTGCCAAGTTTTCTGCCACTATATAATGAGAATTCCCTTTCCTCTAGTTTCCAGGAGCAAGTTCCTCATTTCCTCCTGAGCCCTCACCAGCAGCACTTTAATGTTTATAATTCTACTAACATTATGTTAATGAAGATTGAGGTATTCTCTACAACAACATACATTTTCTCTAACGTGCCCCCCACCTCTTTCAGAACCCTTGGCAGCAGAACCTTTAACATCCATATTTCGATTAACAGGCTGATCAAGTTTATATAAGCCTTTTTCTTGTGTTCCTTAAAATTTTTCCACTCTGTGCCCACTGTCCAATTCCAAAGCAACATTCACACTTTTAGGTATTTGTCGCAGCAGAACTTCACTTCCAGGTACCGAAAATCTGTATTAATTCCTGATGCTGGTGTAACAAGTTGCTATAAACGTAATAGCTTAAAACAATACGGATTTATGAACTTAAAGTTCTGGAGATCAAAGTCTTAAAATCAAAGTGCGGGTGGGGTTGCCTTCCTTCTGGAAGCTCTAAGGAGTGAATGTGTTTCCTTGCCTTGTCCCTGCTTCTGGGGGCCACCTGCGTTCCTTGGCTCATGGCCTTTCTTGAATCACTCTACCCTCTGCTTTGTCATCACACCTCCTACTCTCATACACCTTTCTGGCTCTTATAAAGACCCCTTGTGATTATATAGGGTTCATTTGGATGGTCAAATATAATCTTTCCATCTCAGGATCTTTAATCCTATCTGCTTTATACCTTTTGCCATGTAAGGTAATATAGTCACAGACTCCAGGGATTAGGTGGTGAACATCTTTAGGAGGCCATTATTCTGTCTATTGTACCTGCTTCTCGGGCTTTTGTTTGATTGGTGGCCAGTGCTAAAATAACTCTAAGTAAAATAGGAGTAAGGAGGTCATCCTTAAATACTTAAACATGGTGCATCAGTCACTGTCCAGCTGGAAGACAGAAATCACACCAGTAATTAGAACAGGTTAAAATTAATATAAAGGTTTATTAACTAGTAAAAGGTGATCAACTACTAAAGAGCTTAACAGAATTTATATACATATATTTACATATATACACACACATATATATATGTATATATTTTTTGAGACAGAGTCTCAGTCTGTTGCCCAGGCAGAGTTGCAGTAGCATGATCTCGGCTCACTGCAACCTCTGCCTCCCGGGTTCAAGCAGTTCTCCTGCCTCAGCCTCCCAAATAGCTGTGACTACAGGTGCATGCCACCACACCCGGCTAATTTTTGTATTTTCAGTAGAGACAGGGCTTCACCATGTTGGCCGGGCTGGCCTTGAATCCCTGACCTCAGGTGATCTGCCCACCTCAGCCTCCTGAAGTGTTGGGATTACAGGTGTGAGCCGCTGTGCTCAGCCCTTAACAGAGAATTCTAAGGAACACAGAAATAGCAATGCAGAAAGCAGATGCTATCCTAGGGCAAAGGGAAAGGACCAGGGGACTAGTAACTTAATGAACCCCTTGAGGGCCGACATACACACCTTATTGGAGAGGGCACAACTACCACAAGATACACAGCATACTGGTTGCCTAAAACTTCCTAGAGGGTATGAGTTGGGGCTGACCATTTGTGTCGGGAAAATTACAGGGTGACAGCTGGTTTGCCAGGACTGCTTAGGTGAGTGCCACTGGGCCAAGTATATCTGATCTCGTCCCTTCTCTACCCTCTATCGACCAAAATGTGTAATGTCACACCAGCTGGCAAAGGAGAAATGTTTTCAGGGTCCAGCTCCAGTGTCATGAAGTGGACAAAAAAGGATGTCTTTGGAACTGAAGGCAATAAATTGGTAAATGACACACATGCAAAGACTGTTATTTCAAATCATCAAAATATCAGAGCCTTTTTCTGTTAAATTAGAAATCAGACAAGATTACTAGCTATCTTCGCTATTAATCAAGACTAGAAAGTTTTTACAAATGTGGTAAGATAAGAAAATGAAATAATTGGTATGTGTCTTCCCTAAAAATAGATAAAATTATCTTTATTTTAAGAAGGTATGATTATGTACCTAGGAAGCCAACACAGTCTACTGAAAACAAACAAAACAGCCTACTGGAATTGATAAGAAAATTTAGTAGGGTGTATAGGTAAAATTTTAAAAATTTTTATATACTTCTTTTTATCTGCATAACACCATGCTACTGTTCAGCAGAAACAGCAAAGTAGAATTATGACCCACTTCTTCCTCAACAAACCTCAAAAACTTAAAATAAGGAAATTATCAATATAATTTTAAAATAAACATTTTAAAAAATGGAATTGTGTAAAACATGGAAACGTGAAAAGATGGAATTGGAGGTAGAAAGAGTACCACCATGGAGAAATCTGACATATACCACCTCAGCCAGGTGATCAACGTCAATATCAAGAAAGTCATAATGATACGATATACCCTTCATATGTTCTGGTGAAAATGATACTTTACTTCCTCCCAAGATAAAACCCCAGTCTAATTATGAGAAAAATATCAGACAAATCCCAACTGAGGGACATTCTATATAAAGTACCTAACCAGCACTCCTCAAAAAGAACAGCCAAGAGGAGCCTAAGGAGACGTGACAACTAAATGTAATGTGGTATTCTAGATGGGATCCGGATGCAGAAAAAGGACATTTGATAAAAACTAAAAACATTCAAAGAAAGTATGGACTTTAGTTAATAAGAACGTATCAACAGGCCAGGCTTACACCTGTAATCCCAGCACTTTGGGAGACCGAGGCAGGCGGATCACTTGAGGTCAGGAATTCACAATCAGCCTGGCCAACATGGTGAAACCCTGCCTCTTCTAAAAATACAAAAAAATTAGCCGGGCGTAGTGGTGGGCGCCTGTAATCCCAGCTACTCCAGTGGCTAAGGCAGGAGAATCGCTTCAACCCAGGAGGCGGAGGTTGCAGTGAGCTGAGATTGCGCCACCACACTCCAGTTTGGGTAACAGAGCAAGACTTCGTTTTAAAAAAAAAAAAAGAAAGACGAACGTGTTGGAAATGGATCAAGACCATTTTTGAGGAAGAAGAGTAATGGCAATACTTGTACTGTATGATTATTAATATAATTTAAAATTACAGAAATTAAAACAGTACAGTATTGGCATTAAACAAAAATTTAGTTAGAAAAGAAAGCATATTCAACTATATGCAGAAAAAATGTAACAATGAAATTTAATAATTCAAAATTAAATTGTTTTTGCATAAAGTATGAACGGGGTCTAATTTTGTGTTCTTTTACATTTATTGCCAATTATTAACCAAAGTTTATTAAATTACTTTTTAATAAATACATTTAGTTTATGTAATTAGATTTTAATACCACATTTAATTAAATTTTATTTAATAAATAATACATTTAATTTAATTTTAATAAACTTTAGTTAATTTAATAATTGGCAATAAACATGAACACAAAATTAGACCCCATTATGCAAAAATAGAATTTAAAAAATCTTTACTATTAAAATAACAGAATTAGAAGAAGTATTAAGAGTTCATTTGTATAAAGGAGAGAGTCTTAAGCAAGAAACTAAAAATTAAAAAAGACAATGACATAAAAATTGTAAAGTTAATATAAAAAATTATGTCATAAAGGAGAGATATGTTTTAGAATGGAAAAAAGTATTTGTTAACACTTATAAGAGACCGAGATGATATCCTTAATATACAAAACACTCTTTTAAATTAACAGGAAAAATAACATAATGAAAATAAAGCCAAGAGACACCGAGGATCCATTTAAAGGACAGGAAATATACATAACATTCAAACAGATTTTAGGTTCACTAATGAAAATGCAAATTAAAATGACAATACCATTTTTCACCTGGATGATTACCAGGACTATAGTGATGACATCTAGTTCTGTGGAGGTGGCAGGGAAATGTGAATTATGTGTAAATTACTTCAACATTTTGATCTAAAATATTTAACAAAATTTAATAAATTAAAAATGCTCATAATTGGAATACTGGACCGCATTAATCCAATTTTGGGGAACGTGTATTACAAAAATATAAGCACTAGTATAAAGACATAAATTCAAAAATGTGTAACACATATATGTATTTTTACATATATATATGCAACATATATATATATTTTTTGTTTGTTTTGTTTTGGTTTTGAAATAAGGTCTCACTTTGTTGCCCAGGTTGGAGTTCAGGGGTACAATCATGGCTCACTACCACCTCAACCTCCTTGGCTCAAGCTATCCACTCACTTCAGCCTTCTGAGTAGCTGGGACTACAGGCGCACACCACCATTTAAACTTTTAGTAGACATGGGATCTCACAATGTTGCCTGGGATGGTCTTGAACTCTTGGGCTCAAGCAATTTTCCCACCTCAGCCTCCCACAGTGCTGGGCTTATGGGGATGAGCCCCTCTGCCCAGCCAGTATTTTATAGTTTAAACAGTTTATAAGCAACAAGTATACAAAAGATGCAGTATTCTTAATTTCCAGAGCTATGTTTAAGTTCAAACCTTAAGTCTCTGTCTTGCTTTCTCAAAGACAATTTGATTTAGATGCTTTCAATAAATTCAGTCCAATTAAACATTTAAAAAATATATTCAATATAATTACCTGTTTTTTATTCTCAAGTGGTGGGATTTTAGCTGAGTCTTGAAGGAAGAGATAGAACTAGGATCAGCAAAGAGAAGATGAATGAGTGTGTGTGTGTGTTTGTGTGTATGTGTTTTTTGAGGAAACGAGAGGCAAATCCCATTGATTAAACAATGATAGTACCAAACTGATGGTAAAATTGAAACAAAGATTATCCCAGCTGGTCAAGATAACTCTTTCTTCTCCAACTGGTTTTGAACACCTCCTCCCTTATTTTTATTGCTGCAGCAATTGTGGCTTTCCTGAATGGGTTAGGACAGACAAGCAGACCACACTAGCCTCTGGCTGCTGAGAGATACATCATGTCCCCAGGGGATGTGATACCTTGCGGAAGTTTGATGTGCTTATTTCTCCAAGTAGGTAGTTCCATTTTCTTCCTGCCCAAGACTAAGACACAGTAGGTAAATATTTTTTATTTTATGTAGAAACCCCTAAATTTATGTAGTGTTTTAATTTTACAAGTTAAAATTCATATATGTTCACTTTTAAAGTCTTTCTCCAAGTCTTGCAAGATAGGAAATATAATCATCTCATTAAGGTATGGCCATGAAGACTTGTAGCTGTTTAATGATTACCTAAGGTCACATGGCTAGTATGTGGTAGAGCTGGGATTTTGCACTCAGGTAATTTTAAGGCAACTTCCATACTCTTTTCACTAAACCAATGTTTCGCAATTTCAGGTGTTATGTATCACCTATACAATTTTTGCTATGTCCAGATACAACCTTTATACTATTTGCTTAAAACAGTCAACTAAAATCTAGGACTGCTACTCATTTTTAGTTTTGTCATAGCAATATTTATAAAATATGGTTTTGATATGCTGGCTATTTTTTCCTAATGTATGTTAAAAATAAATACATAACTATGAAGTCTGTTTAAGAGAGCAATATTACCTTAACAAAATGCCTCTTAAAATGGAAGCTTTGAGTTGAATTTTCTTAGTAATTATGAAACTTGAATAATGAACATAGTGGAGAATGCCTGCAGATCAACTTGCCTCTACTTTGCCTGTTACAATTGTGGGTAGGAGTAGGAGAGGCAGAAAGAATAAAAATTCTAGATTAAGCCTGGTAAGTGTGGTAGGCAGTCTTCAAGAAGTGGCAGACAGTATTCACTATCAATTCCTTTTCTCCCTGTATGTGTATGCCTCTCCACCCATGAAGAATTGGAGCAATTAACCCTCCTCCTGAATCCAGGTTGGCATTATGACTTGCCTTAGTCATTCTTGACTAACAGAATGTAGTGAAAATGCGTTAGCTCTTGTCCTAGTCTTTAAGAGTTTTGAAGTTTGGAGAAGCCATTCTGCATGCTGTAAAGATGCTTAGACTGGTCTAATCAATAATGAGAAGCCATGCAAGGGAAGGAGAGAGGCCACATGGTAGAGCACCAAAGTGTCAGACATGTGAATGACACCATCTTGAATCTTCCAATCCAGCCCAGAAGTCAGCTGAAGGCATGACTCCATACAACTCACATGGGACAGAACTGCTTAGCTGAGCCTTCTCAAATTCCTAACACATAAAATTATGGCCAACATGGTGAAAAACCGTCTCTACTAAAAATACAAAGAAAAAATTAGCTGGGCATGGTGGCGTGCACCTGTAATCCCAGCTACTCGTGAGGCTGAGGCAGGAGAATCATTTGAACCTGGGAGGTGGAGGTTGCAGTGAGCTGAGATAGCGCCATTGCGCTCGAGCCTGGGCAACAAGAACAAAACTCCGTCTCAAATAAAAAATAAATAAGTTGTTTTAAGCCACCAAATTTTAGCATGGTTTGTTACATAGCAACAAATAACTGAAACAGTAATTGTGGGGGGCCACAGCATTGGAAGTTCCTAAGCTCTTCTGCTCTGTAGCTGGGTGTGGTAGAGAATTGGTTATTTGATGGTGTTCTCAATGTTTTCTTTTTCTCTCTCAGTAATAGAAACTTTGATTTTTAGCTGGAGACATAGCAGCTCAGAATAATGGTTACATTTCTTAGTCTCCTTTGGTGTTAAATGGGGCCATGTGAATAAGTTCCAACAAATGAGTTAAGAGAATAAACATGTACAAACTTCCTTTTTGGTTGTTGGAGATAGAATACAAGTATGCTCCATCCTGCTGCTTGGAAGATGAATGATTTCATACCACAAAGACAGGTGCATTCTGTAGATTTGCTAAAGCAACAAACTAGAAGTCTGGTTCCCTGAATGATTTCATGGAGCAGAACTGCCATACTTCTAGACCATCTGCTTGTTATATGAAAAAGAAACTTCTATTATATTTACAATCCCTGTTTTCTGTAGTACATTTGATTTACGTAAATCATGCTCTTGGAAGCAGGGATGTCTACAAAAAGGGATGCAAGGGCCATAAACCGAGGGGCTTTCCTGAGAGCTTTACATAAAGCCAAGATAGCTGTCAAGGGGATTGCTTGGAAGTAGGTGTGATTGGTGGCTTAGCCTGGGGGAGTTAGTTGCTAGCAAGTATAATCTCACAGGTAAGGAGGAACTGTGTCCTTTTGGTGAGTATACATGACTTCAGTGGGTGTTAAATTCAGGAACTGGACCCTGAATCTTCTCCCCTTCAAGAGTCTGCATAGCCCCCTGCACTGTCATTCCACTGAAGTGTAGAATACCTGGTTTGCATCTATTCATGATCTATTTGTGTTCTACTAGACTGTGAGTTCCACACAGCCACATACTATGGGCCCAGGGAAGGAGCTCTATCCAGGGCAGGAGCTCTATATAAATTGCCTACTCAAAATCTCATCCTCCCTCCTTCCTTAAAGGAAACTTAGATTTTGTTTAGGGCAACTATTTGCCCTTTATTTCTCAGATAGCCTCCTTTGCAATATGGGGCCAATCTGATACAGTTCCTGCTAGTGAGATGTAAGTGAAAGTCCTAAAAGGGAAGTTACTGGGAAAGTTTTGTTTTCTTGTAATAAGTGCTACCCCACCCATTTTTTGTGACTTCCCTTTTATTATTCCTGCCTGTAAAAGGGATGAAAAGCTGAGGGTAGAGGTACCATTCTGTGGCCACAAAATGAAAGCAAGAAGGATCTTGGAACATTGATATCATCACAGAATCTGGACTGGCTAACTCCAAATTGCTTGTTTTGTGAGGAAGAACCCTTGTTTGGTTAAGTTCTGTAATAGTGTTTCTTTTATAGTTAGCCAAATGAAATACCTTGCTTCCTCCTCACTTTATTAAACCAAACCGTTTGCAGAACCAAAAAATATCAATCATCAGAGAAATGCCACACTTAACATATGTGGTGACTGAGTACTGCTAATTTCACCTGTCTTTCAAGGAACCAGAACTCTGATATAAAACTATGTTTGTGAGATGTGACTCATTAGTATATGATTTATAAATGTACACATTTTAGACCTCCACTGGGTCGTGTTGCACCCCATTTATATGTTCACTGTTTGAAATCACAGATTTAAAAAATGTTTAATCTTAATATGTTGTGTGATAGTTTTGTTCATAATTCCATGAGAATATATCTGTTTAAAAAGCTATTCATTATAGCAAATGGCCTATAGCAACACAGTTCATCTAGATACAGTGCATTCTATGTAATAAATGCTTTCTCTGTACCTATCTACAAATACTTTGCAGAAGGCTAGTCTGCTTCAGATGGACAAGATGGGACTGTGGGTGGAAAGTCAAAGGAAAACACTGAATTAAGAAAAAGTAGACTTGGGGGACAGTAAGAACGAGGAAGAAGAAAGAGAACACTTAGGGGAAACAGTGACAGAGATGAAGGGCCCTGCAGGAGGCCCCTAAACAGGAGATGCAGCCACGGAGCCAGAGACTGTTATAAAATGTCAAACACACATGGAGGCTCCAAATGAACAAGAGACCTTTTCAAGTCACAACACCAGTGAATGTCACAGTTGGGTCTGGAATCCTTCCTCCCAGCTCCCAGTCCACTGTTGCTCTCTGCAGTTGTGTAAAGCCTGGATTCATTTCTTATCAGGGAAGGCATACATTTCTCATTATCTTTATATAACATTTCAATTTATGAATTTCTGAATATGAATTGTATTCCAGGATAGGTGCTTATTCCTGTGGACATTTTGTTCTTATTGCTTCACTGGTCAATAGGAATTAGAGTTTAATGCAAACAGGGCTGGTCTTAAGAGTCAGGAAACCTGACTTGGATTGGAATCCTGGTTAAGCCATAGAGCTAACTAGGTCTCAAGGCTGCAAGCCTCAGTCTCCCCATCAGAAAATAGAGATAAATATCTAACAGTTTTTAGCCACAGACCTAACCAGGTCTCACACCTGCAAGCCTCGGTTTCCCCGTCAGAAAATAGAGATAAATATCTATCTGTTTGTTATAAAGCTTTTTATAAAACAATGCACTTATTTTCCCACAACTTTACTTCCCAGCAAAATTGATGAGTTGAAAGATAGAAGCATCAGACAGCGTTGTAGCCAAGGCAACGTGAGTCAGCAGGGGTCCCACACTTGGAATGCCTACTGGGTTAGTCAGGTAATACAAATGTGTGAAGAGGGCCAAGTGAAGCCGTGATGAGTTGTGCAGTGCTAGACCTGAAAAGGCACAGACCTATTAAGCTCCAACTGATTGTTGTCATACAAAAATCTAGGCTTAGATTTTCCCATTTTTAAAGAGATGATAGAAATCTGGGTGTTCATGTGTCTCCCTTGCTTTAAAAATGTCAGCAAATATTTCAGAATGTTAAAAGACTTGTTGGATCCAACATGATTCTGGATGTAGCCAGTGGACTACCAGTTTATGATCTTTGGGTTCCAGTGAATTTTATGGGGAGTGGTGATAGTGATTAATTTTTCTTTTTTTGTGTTTTCCTTTTTGTTTCGTTTGGCTGAGGAATGGGTCCTCTTGAATGAGGAAACTGTTACAAATATCTGAGGCCCTTGTCATCAATATATCTGCCTCATTTACCACAGAAGTAAACAGAATCCATTAAAAAAAATCATACAAATCCACAAACTTTCTTCCTGGCAGAGTCTTGAACACAGACAGCTGCTAAACAACCAGGAGCGCTCAGCAGAATTTAAAGGTGTTGAGAGGAAGTTGCATTATTTTGTTGGAACAATGAGTGAGCAGGGGAAATATTGGCTTCATGTGTGGAGAAGGGAAGAATGGATGTGACCGGGAAATGGCCAAGAACCTGAATATTTAAAAGAGGTCTTCTAAAATAGACTCATTTGGGCATTAGAAACAAAACTTGAATTTTTTATCGAGTGCTTAGTCTGAGATCCTCAGATTTAGGATCTGCTGGTATCAATGTGAAATTCACTTCATCTAAATCTTATTAACAGAACCCTTTGACTGTAATCTCTGTTTTTAGTTTTGGAGCATCATCCATGGGCCGTGAGAGTTTTCTCCGCTGCTGCTTTGTTGTAGCAGAGAGGCCACATCCTTATGCTGAGGTGGAACTTGGCAAATGCTTCTTGAAACATCAACTAAATCTATTAGCATCAACCTCTGAGTCCAAATTCGTCATGGTCCGGAACTGCTTGTTTTGGAGTAGGATTAGAGCAGTTATGGGCTAGAAAGCAGCTACCGCAAAGAGGAGGAATCAGCCCTATTAGGTTCTGACTGTCCTAGACCCTATGCCAGTTGTTCTCCTTTGGTAATTTCATTTCAGGTGGTAGATTTCTGGGAGCCTTTTGACTCAAGAAGGTCTGTGTATAAGCCGCTTGTCTTTTTCCTCATACAACAACAATAGGAGAAAGGCTGCAACTAAAAAAGAAAAGAATAGAAATAACAGAAAAAACCTTTATTATATTTTCTGTATCTATAAAGAACTTTATGGCTTTACCTTTCCATGGACTTCTCCTGCTTGAATATTTTTCATTTTCTAAGAGTCACCCTGAATTGAGAGTTTTGCCATATGGCATTAGATTATTTTACAGGGGCATATAGAGTAGTGGTTAAACTCAGAATTGTGCTTTCTGGATTAAAATCTGGATTGTTTTAAATGTCAGTTTTCTAATCTGTAACATGCGGATATAATATGATATCTCATAGATAATTAGTATTACATGAAATAGTCCTGAGTCAATAGCAGCTGATAGTATTATTTGTTCCCTATCTGACCCCTGAAAAATAGATGTTGTCCAAATGTTACAGGTGTAGAAACAATGTAAGGAACTGCAATAACGAAAAAGTACAAATTCTTAAAAGCCCTTTATTTATTTTTCAGAACTAGTAAAACTCTATTGGGAAGTTATAGCTTCTCGTTGCTTCTTCTTTTAGCCCTAGGTAAGGGATAGAGTTTGTACCAAGACTTGATAATTTTCATGTTCATTATGATACTGGAACTACATGAATAGTATGCTAAGTCTCTTGGTTGTATCAAGTGATTTGGCTAAAAAATATAAGCTCAATAGCTGTACATTCTCAGGTGCAGGATTAAAAACCACTAAATGAGATATTGGTAGCAGTGCTGCATAGAATAGCAATGATGAATAAATGGCTTCAAATATCAGATTTCAAAACTTTAATGGGCAAAGAAAACACTATTAGATATACTTCTTCAAAGGTTTTTATGTATTTTTAAAAATTATATGAAACAATAGCCATTAACGTTCTGTAATAGGCAGCCTAACTGGCAGCCAGTGTCTCCAGAACAGTTCAGATAATTATTGTTTTCCAAACTGACCTAAAGAGGAAGAGTCAAGACTAATCCAACAAGCAAATGTAGGGCTAAAGAGAGGGGGGGAAATGGGCCAGGGGAGTGGCTGAGACCACGTTTCCTTCCCTAGCTCAGCCAGTTACCCTTTGACGAATGTAATACCTCTGAGCTTCATTTTCTCCTCCTCAAAAATGCAGTGGTAATAAATGCCTATTTTCTATCAGGGATGCTTTTCCAGATGAGATAATGCATATGAAATGGTCTATGTAGAATATTTTCAAATGCTGGAGATCATTACAAATACATGGAATTATTATTATTTTGTATTTTACTTTAACTTCTGGGATACATGTGCAGAACATGCAGGTTTGTGACATTGGTATACATGTGCCATGGTGGTATGCTGCACCTATCAACCTGTCATCTAGGTCTTAAGCCCCTTATGCATTAGGTGTTTGTCCTAATGTTCTCCCTCCTCTTGCTTCCACTCCCAACAGGCCCTGGTGTGTGATGTCACCCTCACTGTGTCCATGTGTTCTCATTGTTCAACTCCCACTTATGAGTGAGAACATGTGGTGTTTGGTTTTCTGTTCCTGTGTTAGTTTGCTGAGAATGATGGCTTCCAGTTTCATCCATGTCCCTGCAAAGGACATGAACTCATCCTTTTTTATGGCTGCATAGTATTCCATGGTGTATATGTACCACATTTTCTTTATCCAGTCTCTCATTGATGGACATTTGGGTTGGTTCCAAGTCTTTGCTATTGTAAATAGTGCAGAAATAAACATATGTGTGCATGTGTCTTTATAGTAGCATGATTTACAATCTTTTGGGTATATACCCAGTAATGGCATTGCTGGGTCAAATGGTGTTTCTGGTTCTAGATCCTTGAGGAACCGCCACACTGTTTTCCACAATGGTTGAACTAATTTACACTCCAACCAACAGTGTAAAAGCGTTCCTATTTCTCCACAGCCTCACCAGCATCTGTTGTTTTCTAACTTTTTAATAATCGCCATTCTGACTGGCATGAGAATGTATCTCATTGTGGTTTTGATTTGCATTTCTCTAATGACCAGTGATGATGAGCTTTTTTTTTCATATGTTTGTTTGCTGCCTAAATGTCTTCTTTTGAGAAGTGTCTGTTCATATCCTTCACCCACTTTTTTGATGGGATTGTTTTTTTCTTGTAAATTTAAGTTTACAAGGAATTATTAATAGTTCAGCTGTAGTTTGAAAAAAGTGAAAAAGGCATTCTAAGTTAATAGTGTAAGAGTCCATAGACATGATTTAGGGACCTAAGCTGGATTACACTTTCTATTTCATTGTAAGACTTAATACCTATTTTGTTTTTATTTCTGATGTATAAAGCCTCAAAAGTATCTGAGCCTTGTTATACATGTAACAGTAATCCTATAGGAAATATAACATTAACTGATAAGTATGAGGTGGGAAGAAACATCTGAAAATATTGGATTACAATTTCCTTAAATTCTTACTCAAACTGTTAGAGCCATTTGAACCAGAGTGACTCCATCTTGAATAGGGGCTGGGTAAAATAAGGCTGAGACCTATTGGGCTGCATTCCCAGGAAATTAGGCATTCTAAGCCACAGGATGAGGTAGGAGGTGGGCACAAGATAGAGGTCACAAATACCTTGCTGATAAAACAGGTTGCAGTAAAGAAGCAGACCAAAAATCACCAAAACCAAGATGGCCAGGAAAGTGACCTCTGGTTGTCCTTACTGCTCATTATACACTAATTATAATACATTCATGCTAAAAGACACTCCCACCAGGTCTATGACAGTTTACAGATGCCATGGCAATGTCAGGAAGTTACCCTATATGGTCAAAAAGGGGAGGAATCCTTAGTTCTGGGAATTACCCACCCTTTTCCCAGAAAACTCATGAATAACACACCCCTTGTTTAGCATATAATCAAGAAATAGCCATAAAAATGGGCAACAAGCAGCCTGCAGGGCTGCTCTGCCTATGGAGTAGCCATTCTTTATTCCTTTGCTTTTTTAATAAACTTGCTTTCACTTTACTCTGAACTCACCCTGAATTATTTCTTACGTGAGATCTAAGAAACCTTTCTTGGGGTCTAGATTGGGACTCCTTCCCGGTAACAAAACTAAGAATCTTATTACTACAACTTTTCCTAGAGCTTAAGTTTACAGATAGTTCATGAGCTATTTTAACATAGTATATGTCGTTCAGGAGAAACAGAACCAACTAAGGAGTGTTGGCCCCTGTAGCTCTCGGCAATGCCACTAGTGCTCCTTCAACTTTTGTGTCAACTTTCTGTGGTTGCCATGGTAAAAAGAGTCTTCCTAGGAAAGTGAGATAAATTCTTATTAAGAAGATTAGGAAAATTATTATGGGCAAGGAGAAACTTGATTCACACCTTGAAGAATGAAATAGACTTAAAAAGTAAATAGAAAAACAAAGAAGGGTACATTAAGTACCAAAGGTAAAGTGTAGATGGGTTAAGTATCCTGAGAAACACGGGAGATTTTTATCATTGATTACATTGTTCTTATTTCTCTTTACCTGTCTTAAACTTAGAAATTATAACCAGTTTAGTATGTCTTATTTGTAAATTGGCTGGTCACATGAGCAATTAACATATGCTAAAACTTTTATGTAGCAGAATGTAAGGGTTACCTGAATTCAGGTACTTTTGTAGAAGCATCTTTCTAATTGAGGCACCTCTTTCTGATCTTTAAGAAGAAGAAAAAAAAAAGAGCTCATAAAAATCTCCAGGGATAGTATAGATGGTGGATTTTGGCCAGCGTCATGGAATTCTGAGCTGTGTACTGATTCACTCTGAACTACATGTGGGCTCTTCAAAACCCAACTTATTACACCCACAAACCTCTCAAGGGTAAAAGAAAAGGTTCACCTTAGGTCCCCTTTGAAATGTACTAAGGGCATATGTTTTAAGTTCTTTAATCAAAGGGCAGAGGAATGGTCTCTAGCTCTTTCCCACCCTAAAGACTGTTATTTGTAAGATGTTTGGAGACTTCTAACAGTAAACACAAATTGTGGACTGGCTAACATATTTACTGCATCATTTATTTCTCCAGATCTCAAAGAGACCTCTAAGGAATAAATGCAGATTTATGTGGAAGTATTATCAGGGCCCACTTGTAAATCTAAATGCGTTGATATGTGAATACTGAGTTTCATTAGAAAATATTTACATCTTCTCTCATAGCTGTAATTGGAGAGACATTAGACTTTCATTGCTCTCAATTTCTAGCTGTAGTCATCATCACCTACAAAAATACAATCCTTTCAAAAAAAGCACTTCTATTAATCTAAATTTTAAGACGACACTGCCCCAAAACTTCTCCCTAAGAGACGTGTGCCTGATAACAGCAATAGCAACATTCACTTTGAATGAGACATATTTTCCTTTAACAGGTAAATGTCACAGGGAGGCATACTCTATTTACTCTTTGGAGTATTGATTGATCAGCTACTTTCTAATGAGGCAGTTCGCTGAGAGTGTGTTTGCAGGGAGTGAGTGTGGAAAGGCACAAGTGTGTAGTAGGTAGCCTGAGCTGGGGGAGGCTAGTACAGCCTGGTGCAGACTGAGTTCATTGGGACTCTACAGATGTGAAGATGTCCTAAGGAAGGATGGCAGAGAACTAAGAGCAGTTAGCGTTGCAAAAGATAAATGTCCACTTTCACAACTCTCTCTGGAATCACTCCTGAGTCTTTGGATGCCACTTACAAATGTATTTTTTTAATGCTTTGCAATAGTGTGAAACTGGCTAGGTTTCAATTGTATTTGTAGTATCAACCTAAAAAGCCCAGCTAAGCCAGAGTTACCTCCTTTGCCTAAGTTCACAGCGCACTTTTGGTACAAACATACAAAGATTCATGGGAATGTTCATTGACCTTCAGAGCTAGAAAACAGAGGAGTTTTAAAAGAAGCTGTAATCCTTGTTAATATAACTGAGAAGTTTATTTGCAACATTTTTCTTACAATTGCTGTTCCTGGCACTGAATTAAATATGACCTTAAAAAGGACCATAATCTGCTAAGAGACTGAAACCTTTTTCTCTCTCTACCCCCCACCAACCCCCACTTTCTTTCTCTTTGGGTAGGCTGCCCTCATGAAGTGTGTTGCTTTACTTTATTTTGAGTTCCTTGGCTGCTGAGGTTTTTATTTGGAAAAGAAACATCAAAATAAGTCATAATAGCAGCAATAGTGTTTTGAGAAAGAATTAGAAATGAAATAATTTCTATATGATGATGCCAGAGACAAGCTTTATTTACTGTGGCATTTTAATATGATATTACATGTTTATTTTTTCAAGTTTTAAGATTACCTTATTCAATACTCTTTCCCATTTTTATTATTTACATAATATCTTTTTAATGACACTGCCAAAACATGGTAGTTGTCCTACTTAAGATAAATGTCTATGTCTCTTCTTTTTTTTGCTCAATCCAATTTGCTGTGGTTTTTATAATATAAATTTCTCAACTACACATGTAGGCACTTTTTCTATTTTTAGTTGGCTTTTTCATTGCCCTTGTTCTCCAAAGACTTTGAAGAAAATTTGCAACTCTGAGGAGTTTCATGCTGTAACTTTGACTTGCTATTTTATATTTGGTCAAACTATCCAACCCAAACCTCTATCAGCTCCAGACTTCATTCCTTTGGTCTATACCACCTTCTCCCTTCTCTGAACTCTAACACTAGAATTGAAGCCTATGATTTAAGATGTATTTATATTATGGCTTAAATTTCCCTGAATTCTGCTCATATGTGTAATATTCTTCATCTCTAACAAGTCCATGATTTAATTGAGTATGAGCTCTGTTTTTCAGTTTTTTACTTAGATAATCCTACAAGTTCCTGAATGGCACATAATAGGAGCTCAATATATATTGGTTACTCTTTAGGGAACACTGAGGGACATTTCTTTCTGTCGTTATTTCCGGTCCTTGTTTGCTCAGAAGAAATATTTTCTATTCCATTCTCTCTAATCATTTAAAGCCAATTTAGGTCATCATTCTTTAAAATATGTTTCTATTTTGATGATTGGATTTTTAAAAAATAATGGTCACTTTTAGAAGACAAAGTTGTTTAATTCTGTTTCCAATCCTACTAACTATGTTTTGGAGCATTTCGAAGCAGAATGTATCTTATAGAAATCATTTGTCTATTCATTTTATATTATATTTCTATTCATTCTATATTTTTTGTACTAAGTTTTTTTCAAAAATAGTGAATGACAAAAATGAATGACAGACATAGATGAGATATAATGTTAGGAAATTGATAAATCTTTATTAAACTTTATTCTGACTTTTGTATTTATTTTATATCACCTCTAACTCCAGATAATAAGAAAGTAAAAGGTTACACAATATTTACTAGTGAATAGGTCAAGCACCATGATCAGTGGAGCAGAAATGACAACTTCTATCATTTCTTTTGACTGAGAAAAAAGGATGGTCAGAAATTTATTGTGCTCTGAAATAACTCGATTTATCTGCAGAATTATGAGAAATGCATTTCAATTTTTCCATAAATATATATTTTAAGGGATAAAATATGAATAATAAATTCTAATTACATTATAGTTATGGTGTAATAATACTGTGATGCTGACTGAAATGGGAGATTAAATTCACTTTTAACTTTATGAAGACCAAATTATGGGGAAGCCACAAGTGGGTGTTAGCTGAAAACCCACTTATGTTGGGAGCTCTACAGATCAATAACATTCTGAGGTCAATCTTGTGAAATGATAGGAAATATACATATTGGTCTCTGCCTTCAGTTCCTAAGTCTAAAACTCCTAAACTCCTAAAACTCTTGGGATTTCCTAATAGAGGTTCTAGGAGCATCTTTTGTTCTAATATTTGGTGTTTGGCCTGGTTCTTGGCACAGAGCTCCAAAATCCCTCAGAATTTCCTGGGTAATAAGATCATTTTTTGTTCTAATGAGGTGACTCTTGGTGGACCCCCAGATGTGGGCTGGTTACCAGAATGACCAAACTGTGATTAGAAACTTGGAACTTTGAGTCTCAGATTTCATTCTCTGGAAAGGGGAGAGGAGCTGGAGTTAATAATTGGATTACGTTTATGTGATGAAGCCTCCTTAAAAAAAAATCCCTAATGTATGGGGTTCACAAAGCTTCTGGACTGTTGAGCACATCCCTAGCTGGGAGGGTGGTGCACCCCAACTCCACAGGGCAGAAGCTCGTGAACTTCTACCCTTCTGGACCTCACCCTATGTACCTCTTCATCTGTATCCTTTATCATATCTTTACCTTAAACTAGTAAACATGAGTGTTACTCCGAATTCTGTGAGCTGTTCTACAAAGGAATGAACCTGGGTGGGGTTGTGGGAACCTTTGATTTGTAGCCAAGTCAGATAGAAATTGTGGAAAAGCTGGGAACCCACCCCCTTTCGATTGGCATCTGGAGTGGGAGCAGTCTTATGGGACAGGGCCCTTAACAAGTGAGGTCTGTGCTAACTCCAGACAGTACTGGAATTGATTGCATCGTAGGACACCCAGTTGTCTGCAGAGAATTGGAGAATTGTGGGAAAAAACTCCATGAATCTGGTGTCAGATGTGAAGTATTGACAATGGCGTAAGTTCAGAAAGAAAAACTGATTTTTCCCCTTAATCTACGAACCAGCACCTTGCTCCAACTCTCACACTCACATCCTAAAGTATGGGGCTCAGGGAGCTTCTAGATTGTTGAACACAACCACATGCTGGGAGTGTGGTGCACCCTAACTCCACAGGGCAGAGGCTCCTGTGCTTGGACCCATCTGGACCTCACTGTGAGCTTGGATGAGTCACAGATTCTCTTGAGTCTCAAGTTCTCTATTTGTAAAATGAAGTGATGGAATTGATTTCTTTCATAACATGTGTTTCATTGCTGACCCCTCTGAGAAGCTGATGAGAGCAATGGAAAGCATGTGTACATACACAGACACTAAAATTCTGCATAGACTGGGTTGGGATTCAAACTGCCTCAAAACCAGTTGTTGCCCCACGGATAAAGAACCCATGGACCAGATGATTTTTAGAGGCTTGTGCAACTCTAACATCCTATGACTCTTTGACCATATTTTTGTTTTAATTAAGCTTAAACGGTATATTGAGAATCCAAAAAAAAAAAAACACAAACAAACAAACAAACAAAAAAAACCCAGGCAAAGGAAGAAACATATTTATAAGCAATAAGATATTTTAAGTGCAACACATATCTGGGTATAAGAGTTACCAATTTAGATACTAGAATGTGGTATTTGGATAGGTAAAAATAATGAATTTGATATGTGGAAATAAATATATCAGAGCTAGCAATGCATTTTAACATTAATGTTTTAAATAATAAGATTGCTGTTTATTACAAGATGAATTAATTTATACATCCTTTAGCAGTACATGTTCTTCACATGTCATTCAAAAGTTCCATACAGAAAAATATTTAAAAACAGATCAAAACATAGTGACTTTCAAATTAATATAGAGGACCTTATTGATTTGAAATACATATTTTGAAGATGATTTTTAAACAACTAATTTTTATATTTATCATGCACTTTGTTAAACTTGACATGTTAAAATCATTAAAATGATTTTACTATTCTGCTTTAACCAATAAAACAAACTTAAATATTTCTGTTTGACTTAGTTTATCCTTAGGGTGTGGTGTGAAGCTTATTATTGTTATTACTATGATGATGATGATGAGGCAGGACCTTGCTCTGTCACCGGCATTGAAGTGCAATTGTGCGACCATGGCTCGCTGCAGCCTTGACCTCCCGGGATCAAGTAATCCTCCCACCTCATCCTCCTGAAAATCTGGGACTACCACACCTGAATAATTTCATATTTTTTTTATAGAGATGAGATCTCCATATATTGCCCAGACTGGTGTCCAACTTCTGGACTCAAATGGTCCACCCTCCTCAGCTTTCCAAAGTGCTTGGATTACAGATAAGAGCCACTGTGACTGGCCTATTTGCTTATTATTTTAAGTCATTTAAAAAATGAGCTTTTCTGAAAATAGCTGAGAAAAAGCAAATTAACATTTTGAACAGTAATGTCAAATTAAATTTTAGAAAAATATAGTGGAAAACATGACTTGTTTTTCAGAACCAAGATTTTATTAAAGGGAATGGATAGAGAGGAAATAGACAAAAGGAAAATTGTTTTTGCAGATAAAACAAAAATTACTTTTTAAAATGTAGTTAAAATTTAGTGATAATAGAATATAGAAAAAATGAAAAGTTTTAGTTCAGGGAAAACTGCATAAGGTTTGAAAGTATTACAAATCAAACTAGTGCTATATACTATGGCTATCCAATTTCATAATTAAATGGACAAAACTAGAATAAAATTATTTGGGGGAATTTTTTAAGTACCATAAATTTCTTCAGATTATTGATAGATGTGTAGAAAATAAAAAGGAACTATTTGTTTCTTGCATTTTCCAGTAATTAAATGGAAACATTCAGGTTCAAATTGCATAAAGTTAAACAAATACAATAACTACTAAGAATTTATAAAACGAAATTAAATAAAAATCTGTTAAACCGTTACCCAGATTTCAGTATAAGAATAAGGCATAGTTAAATAATCGAAAATGAAGTAAATAATACTATAATTTCCAAAAATGTTGAATTTTGAGATTACATGTATGTCATACACCCCCATTTTTTCAGATAGGTAAAATGAAGTTCAGAACGGTTATAGGTAACTCATGCCAACTCAATAGGAAGTGTCAGAACACAGCTTAGAACACAAATTTTTTCATTTCAAGCTTCCAAACTCTTTTCCCTATATTTTAGCCTTCATGGTAGGTAATGTTTTCTGTCTTTTGTAAAAGGGACCTGACTGTATCTTTCTCTAGGTTGCTTTCACTCATGCATATACACATGCAGAGTTAAGAAGAGCCATTTATTATCCCTGAATAATTTCACTGTAAGTCCTACTTAAGTAGAAATAACTTAGGATAACAACTTGTTAAATAAATTAGCTCCACATGATATATGTAATTTAGTATTATGAAGAAAGTTTTTAAAAATATAAAAATGATGTGAAGTGTGAATAGCCTTGGAATATAAGTTCAGCATTTTTTGATTTCTTGAATGAAACACACTTTGTAGTTACACAGCAAAAGTGAATTCAGCCCAGTTTAGATAGCCAATTCAGATAACTTGGGAACAAACAATAATCCCTTCCTGTCCCTGGATCACCTCTACTTAAGTCAGTTTCCTCATGACATATGCTTATTTATTGTTCAGAAAACATTCTATTAACTGAGCTACCAGTAAAGATGATTTTCTTAAATTTTGCATGACCTTTGAATATAAAATATTTTTCTCTTCACAAAATTAGTTTAAAACTGAAGACCTCTTACATAATAGTTATGAATATCATTCTCTATTTGAAGGTTGGAAATTATAAAAATTCAGGGTATGTGCAAACAATCATTTTTTGACATGTTTTCTAAGAAGCAGCTCCTCATCTATCTCCCATTGTGGGGCATGGGTCTACATTGACAGCCACCTCTTCAGCTACACAGGTTGAAGGTCCATGTGGGCCTGAAATGCCATTCTCCAGAGGCACTCCCACACAAAGCGCCTTCTCCCATGTGCCATGACTTCTTTACCAGATCAGCATTCTAATTTTTTTGAATATAGGTTTGTTGGGCTTTTCAACTAATAAGTATCTATATTGGTAAGCTTAGTATATTTTGGTTATGAAAAATCATATATTTGGTGACCCAAGATTTATTCATTTATAAACTCATAAATTTCATCTACCTATGTTGTAGAATGTTGTGTTGTATCTGTTAAGGGTGTTTAGCAATGTATTTACCTATTTCTTAGTAAAAGTCATATTTGTATAAGGTTTTCTTGTCTGTGAAGGAATTTTATAGGCACTATTGCATTTAAATGCAAAGCTCTTTATTAAAATATTTATCTCTGCTTGTTAGATAATGATGCAGAGGCTCAGAATTAAAGATAGATTACTAAAATCACAGTGGATTACTTTTCAAAACAGTGACAAACCTATCTTTTAAAACTCTGGGTGAAGTTCTGCAGTTTGTTTTACTGTAGGTATTTATTTGCATGCTGTTAACAAGTATCTGAAATTGGCACATAGGCCATCTCTGTTTAGGTTCACAGGTATCTGTGTTCTTGTTCACTGATTACCTCCATTTTTACCAGTATACTATAACCTGTTATCAACCAGGTTTTTATTGTTTTCTATTTTTTTTTTAGAAATTCTTAGTGATAATTATCCTTTCTTAAATCAACAAAACAAACACTTGTACCAGAACTTGAAAATTTGTCAAAGCTAAATGTATATATTATTTGGTTAAATGAATATAAATATTGCATAGCAGTTTCCCCCCTCAATTTCAATTTTGTTGCGTAATTTATGGATTTTTACCTTAGTTATTTTATATTTTCTCAAGTTTAGTGAGGAGTTAGTTGATATGTTTCTTACTATCCATACTTTTTAATAACATCATTTAAGAACTTGAATAGATTCATAATAATGGTTTGTGAATCTTAAAACTTTTCAAAAAACTATTTCTTGACATTGATCCATCTTAAAATTATTCTTTCCTTTGATTAATTTTTCATTACTTAGTAATGTTTCAATAAGAACACTGCATCTTACAAACATTGTGATCATTAGGAAATGTGTATAGATTTATAAAAATCAAAATAAATATGACAAGTAAAAATATTTCTCTTGTTCTATATCATCCAAGTTGGTGTAATTTAAATCTTATTTTAAAAAAACAACTAATTCTACCGTACAATTCTGCTAAAATGGATTTAACAAATTAAGGAATTTAAAATTTAAATGAGGCCGGGCGCGGTGGCTCACGCCTGTAATCCCAGCACTTTGGAAGGCCGAGGCGGGCGGATCACGAGGTCAGGAGATCGAGACCATCCTGGCTAACACGGTGAAACCCCATCTCTACTAAAAATACAAAAAGTTGGCCAGGGGGCGTGGTGGCGGGCGCCTGTAGTCCCAGCTACTCGGGAGGCTGAGGCAGGAGAATGGCGTGAACCCGGGAGGCGGAGCTTGCAGTGAGCCGAGATCGCGCCACTGCACTCCAGCCTGGGCAACAAGCAAGACTCCATCTCAAAAAAAAAAAAAAAAAATTAAATGATATATGTATATATATATGTGACGTAACTTCAAAATTTAAATGTGATATATCCTGCATGTTTTCTCTTTGTCTAAAATGTGGCCCAACTTTAAATATTTTCAACAGAAATGCTTAGTGTCTAAATCTGTATTACCTTTATATAAGTATTATATGGTTACTTATCTTAACCTTCTGCTACATAAACATGAAAACATTCAGATAAAATAAGGAAGCTTTGAAATAGAACATTAAGTCATCAATTATATCAGAACTATTTAATATAATGAAAATACTGAGAATATGATTTTATCCCCAGAGTTCCAACTATTAAAAAAACATTCCAGGGCGGAGGGCTAGGGGAGGGATAGCATTAGGAGAAATACCTAATGTAGATGACGGGTTGATGGGTGCAGCAAACCACCATGGAACATGTATACCTATGTAACAAACCTGCATGTTCTGCACGTGTACCCCAGAACTTGAAGTATAATTTAAAAAAAAGAAGTGTTTAAAAAAATTCCTTTCCAAATGATTCAGTGTTAAAGGTTAAATCGGAGGAACTTTTGATTTTCAAGAATGATATATTTATCATAATTTATATAGCATTCCCTAATATCACTGAATAAAATTTTAAGATATATTTTCTTTAAGATGTGTATGTATTTTTTTAAAAAAACCACTGTATTATAGTAATTTCTGTAGATCTAGGAGCTATCAGTCAACTCTTTAATCCAGAGTGCTATCTTCTGTCACTAGACAGTTTCCCCAACTGCACAGACCGTGTCAATTACTTGCAAGAAAATGTTGTCTCAGAATATATTTCCAGTACTTAAATCTAAATGCAATTTTTAATCCCAAATTTAGTAGGAGAGGAGTTGAGTTTCTTTTGATCTCTGATGAATTCCTTAGCACAGGCTGTGCTGTTGGGAAATTAGTGCTGTTTATAGTTGATTTTCCCAGAACATTGACTCCCCTCTCCCCAGTTTTCTGTGACAGAAACTTCTTTTGTTTTGGAAAAAGAAATGGTGCAAACGATGTTTTTCAGGTTCGTTTATTTAATTTAAAAAATTTTGTGGGGGAGATGGAGTTTTGCTCTGTTGACCAGGCTGTAGTGTAGTGCAGTGGCCTGATGTCAGCTCACTGCAGCTTCTGCTTCCCAGGTTCAAGTGATTCTTGTGCCTCAGCCTCCCAAGTAGCTGCGATTACAGGCGTGCGTCACCAAGCCTGGCTAATTTTTGTATTTTTAGTAGAGATGGAGTTTCGCCATGATGGCCAGGCTGGTCTCGAACTCCTAACCTGAAGTGATCCTTCTGCCTAGGCCTCCCAAAGTGCTGGGATTACAGGCATGAGCCACTGCACCTGGCATTTTTCAGGTTTAGTGGACTGCTCTGAACCTCTACTTAAACTTCTGTACAATGTGACTCAGGTTTAGCTTGTATAGATTGCTGTATGGGTAGGGAAAATGTATGTAAAGTTCTCTAATACAAGACTTAGTGCATAGTAGGTACTCAAATCAGTGACAGCTAAAAAACCAGCAACACTGATTTCAAATTGATTGTTGGTTTCTAATAATTAGGAATTGATATTAGCATAGGGTAAAAGAAGTAGGAAAAATGAAATTCTATTAATGAAGAAGGAATACATACATAGTATTTAATTGAATGTAAGACACTTTGATGCTAGTGATGTCTTCTAATCTTATCACAAGGTATTAAGGAAAAGTTTTTACATAACTGTATATGACCTACTTGGGACATAGCATTGTATGATAACATGTATTACAGGATACATCCTGGTTTTAGATGTTATAAAATTTGAAAATATCAATGAAAAAAAATGACAAATGTTTTCTGCCATGGAAAGAAAAATAAAATACACTATGTAAAACAATAAATATTCTACCCACATTATGATATACACAGGTTAAAAGTGATTAATGTTGGATTTTATTTTATTCTTTTTAAAACATATTTCATTCACATGAGTCAAATTTTATTTGAAAAAAAATGAATTATTTTAGATTTCCAAGCTGTTCATCATGTGTCAAAACAAGGACTACATAAAACAATATTTCTCAAAGTAAAGATCTTACTTTGTGCTTCTCATATTATTATTATTTTTTGACTTGTCACCCAGGCTGGAGTGCAGCGGTGCGATCTCTGGTCACTACAACCTCTGCTTCCTGCATTCAGGTGATTCTCCAGCCTCAGCCTCCCAAGTAGCTGGGACTACAGGCACCCACCACCACTCCCAGCTGATTTTTGTGTTTTTAGTAGAGATGGGGTTTCACCATGTTGGCTAGGCTGGTCTCGAACTCCTGACCTCAGGTGATCTGCCCGCCTCGGCCTCCCAAAGTGCTGGGATTACACGCGTGAGCCACCGCACCCGGCCAATAATTTGAGATGTAAACAATATTGGAGTCCTTTAGGGCCAAGAAAATACAACTTTAGATTTATAATCTAATCTTAACTATTTTATAAATAGCTTTTTCATTATTGTTTTATTCAGTATATCTCATAATTCAAAAAGTTGTTTTTTTCCCTTTGTATATACTTAAAAACATTATTTAATGGGGAGGGTAGTTAGGCTAGAGTCATAAAAATGAGATAAATTTGGTTAGTCCAATCTGTCCCATGCAGAAACTATTTCAGGTACAGAAACTGAAAAATTGTGGCTATTCAGATTGAGAATTTTGTTGATTAATATCCTATTTTTTTCACTTGTAACAGTCTATCCTTGACCTCCTTTGCTGAAAAAATTTACTACTTTGATAATTACTATGCTGCTGAATTTCCCATGACCTAAAATATTAAAAATTATTTTTACTAGTTTATATAATATAAAAGTTTAGGCCAGGTGCAGTGGTTCACACCTGTAATCCCAGAACTTTGGGAGGCCAAGGCAGGCAGATCACAAGGTCAGGAGATTGAGACCATCCTGGCCAACATGGTGAAACCCTGTCTCTACTAAAAATACAAAAATTAGCTGGGCCTGGTGGTGTACACCTGTAGTCCCAGCTACTTGGGAGGCTGAGGCAAGAGAATCGCTTGAGCCCGGGAAGTGGAGGTTGCAGTGAGCCGAAATCGTGCCACTGCACTCCAGCCTGGGTGACAGAGCAAGACTCCATCTCAAAAAAAAAAAAAAAAAGTTTAATATCTTTTGTACCTTTAATCATTTATGTATTAAGGAAAAAGCCACTTAATTTGGATGAAACACCAAAATAGTGCTTGCTATGTCACACACTGCTCTAAGTTTATTTTTCTTATACTGATTTCATCCTTATAACAACCCTATGAAACAAGTACTATTGTTATATCCATTTTACAGATAAGAAAACTAAGGCAGAGAGTGAAAGTATGTTGCAAGGTCACATAGTTAGCAAGTGGTACAGCCTGAAATGAGATTGAGAAGGTGTAGCTCCAGAGCATATATTCTTACTATACTGCTTTCTTATATCACAGCATAATTACGGGTAGCTGACATAATTCAGACATAAAAATACTTTGCTTTTTCATAGAGTACCTAAGTTGTTTAAGCTTTATGAATTCCAAATTGCTCACAAATAACTGGTCATGGATCTCTGCATATTATAGTTATTCTACTTGTTTGGATTCAATCATTTATAAGATGGGATTAAACTTCATCTGATTAGGTAAATACAACCTCCTGCCATTAAAATATAGCTTTAAAAAACTTGATCTTTGATATTAAGTATTTATTCATGATTAGTGTAGAGAGAGCTATACTCTTAGTTTGTTATAGTGACTCCATACAGTGACATATAGTGACACAAGGGAAAAGTCTCATGTGCGTTGACATTCACAGCCACTTGCCACATTTTCTCTTTATTCATTAGTTAACTTTGATTGGAAAAACTCCACCAACCATCAGAATCAAGTATTTATAAAAAACAGCATGTTGTTTCATAGGTAAATACGAAGTTTCTCAACCGTATTTACATTTGTAAATCTGAATATGGTGGCATGTTTTAAAAACCGAAAACATGGTATTAACCAGGAAAAAATAGTGTTTAAGTGATAGGAAAAATGATCCAATAAAGCTTTCCAGATTTTCCAGTCTATTCCAAATCTAGTTGATTCAATAAGAAACAAGTATTTTGACATTTCAAACAATAATATGTGGCATTGTATCAACTCAAACTTACAGCAAGAATCCTGTTCCACTCATTTATCTTTGTGTCTCCAAGACCTAACATGGTTCTGAGGTAAAAGATCACCAGGACTTGTTTTCATGACCCTGCTGATCAAAAACAGGATGTAGCTAAGAAACTGGCCCAAATCAGCTAGGACTAGAAATTATAATGCATCTGCAGGCTATGAGACACTGCACCAGCACCATGACACTTTACAAATGCCATGGGAACACCCAGAAATTAAGTTATATAGTTCCAAGAACTCCCTGCAGCTTTTCCAGAAAATCTGTGAATAACAGACCTCATATTTAGCATATAATTAAGAGTTGGTATACATATAGCTAGCCAGCAACCCACGAGGGCTACTCTGCCTGTGGAGTAGCCATTTTGCTGGATGCTGTTGCTCCAATAAACTTGGCTTCTTTCACTGTGGGTTCCCTCTTGAATTCTTTTCTGAATTAAGCCAAAAATCCTCCCAAGCTGAGCCCCCATTTTAGGGTTTGCCTGCATCAGTTCCTTATAGAATTTAGGCATTTATTTTATTTACTAAAGGAGCATATTTGTATATTTCTAGAGCTATACTAAATTATATTCCTAGTAATGAAACCAATGTAGTCTGAAATACTTTGTTATTACAAGTAGAATATCATTCACCTTAATGTGAAATGCATTAAATTTCATATGAAAATTCTTGTATAATACCAAACTTTTTAATCAATGTGAATAGCCAAAACAGTATATTATTGAATCTCACTAGATGTCAGTTGATTGTATTTTGTCTTTCTGATTGAAACACTGTGTAGTTGGTTTCAACTTGATTGCCTGAGAATCACTCTTTGCTTTGCTAAAATGCATACCCAGTCAAGGATATTTTCTCTATAATGCCAAATCTTCCATATAAATATCTCACCTTATGCCACATACAGTATTGTACAAATTGAAATGTTGGTTATAAATTTTAAATGACTGGTAAAGAATGTACTACTGATGATTAGTGTGTGTCTTGTATGTAATTGTATTGAGGTTTTAGATGCTATAATTCATTAATAAAGAGAGATATAGAAATTAGTTTATTCTTTATTATCACACAGAATAACAAGAATTAGAGTTAAATTCACAATATTTTTAAAGAAAACATTATGTGAAGATGATTCATTTCAAACCACCAGCCAATTTAACATAAAACACTTGTCAAGCTGAGTAGACTGTTTTCTTATGTGAACCACAAAATATTTTCTCTGAAATCTACACTTAGTTTAAAAACAGAGATGGGATTTTGCATATTAGCTTGAAAATAAGTATATGATGATGATATTAGGTGCCCACTAGCACCTAGTTTTTACAGCTTTGCATTGTCACCCCATCACTGCCAGGGACCCAGCCCCAGGCATACACAGATGAAAGGACAGTTTCACCTTCTTGGCAAAAACCTTCAGAACAATTGTCAACATACTCTCAAATGTCTTTCCCACTCAGAAATGAGGAGCAAGGTGTATGACTTTAGATTCAAGAAGTATATGGGGCTAAATATCTTTAAAAGTATAACTCTGGACAATGTACTTAGGGACCTACTACTTACTCAAAATAGGGTAGTAGCATTAATAACTAAATAGGGCGTGAGTCATGAGAAAGATTCCCTGCATCTCTTGCCAAGTATTAACACTAGTTTTACTAATAAGCAACGGGGTAGATAACTTTGAAGATTGCATCAACTTCAACACAAAAAAATGTGAATATCTACCATGTGCAAAACAGTCAAAGTATGTTAGGGGAAATTTAAAACATTACATAGAAAATAAGTATGTGATGATATCGTTAAAATACATGATCACTTAATTTTTACAGTTTTGCATCTGTTACCAGCCAGTGCCAGGAGAACTGTCAGGCACACATGGATAGATGAAGAGTCTCACCCTCTTGACAGAAAACCTCATATGAATACCCAAACCACTTTGAAAGTATGTGCTCAACTGAAATAATTAATCTTTGTGTTTTTCTCTTTGGCACTGGACCTTTCTCCTGGTCAGTTGGAGGCAGGCATATTGCTCTGAGGAGAATTGGAATTGTTATAGCGGAAATGTTCAAAGAAAGTCAACATTCAGCTTTTGACTTCCTCAGTTGGTCTTTGAAATCCACAGAAAGGCAAGTCTGGAGATTAGGGCTTTCTCAAGCGAAAAACATGGTCTAAATCTCAAAGGTATCCTTAAAAGGTGGACTTAAGCATCAAAAGCTACTAGGACTAGATGAGAACTCATTCTAAAACCTGACAGAAGCCTCCAGCACATAGCAAGAGGAAGTGAGAGGCTTTCATGATTCAGAAGAAGGAAGATGTAGGGCAAAGAGGACAAATGCCTACATTCTGAGACTGAAAGTTGAAGGAGGTGAGATTCAGACAAGTAAAGGGAAGTCCAGGAAGATCAAGCCTTTTATGCTTGCCTGTAAAGTCTGCAACATCTTAGAGAAGCTTGGATTTAGTGTGGTGGCAGCTGAGTGGAGGCTTAGCAGGCAGTGGTAAGCCATGGCTCTCCTGAAGGGGCAAGGTGACTCCACAGCAGGGCCAGATGAGAAAAGAGCTGGGCCTATGAGGAATGTGCTAAGCCAGCAAGAAATGGAAGTTAGCAAAGTCCCAGCACTCTGCAGTGCTGAAGCTGAAAGAATAGATAAATTCACAAGCCAAAGACTTAAATATGAGATGATAGCAACGGGGGTCTATGACCAGGCATAACTAACAAGGGACTGGTGTATGGCCAGTGAGGACCTGGAGAAAGAAACCTCCTTCCCACAGCTACCATGTACATACAGTAAGCTTCTGCCTTCCCAGCTGCTGTCTGGTTAGTGGAACTAACAATTTCCTTGATGGAAATTGAATAAGGTAATCCAAAAAGAAGGCTCTTTTAGATGAAAAAACATGGATAGATTATTAAGCGCCAAGTTTTCTCTTCAACCTACTGCTCACCAGTGCTCCCTCCTCAGCTCCAAGGCTGTGGAGGGCTCATGAAGTCACAATGTTCTACTGAGAATTTAGCTTTTTTTTTTTTTTTGGAGTGGGTATACCATTTTGTAATTCCACTTGATAATGGCATCTGATTATTTGATCATGACATCATTATTTGTATACAATGCAGCAAGAATTTTGTTTTTAATGTAGGCTTTTAAATGGGCTTTGATGGAACTTGGTTCCATAGAAGGAATCCCAGATAAGGCTTTTTAAAAGCCGAGCCCAGCCATGGATTCATACCATCAAATACCTATGAGTTAGGTGAATTCCTCTCGAGGTTCCAAGAATCTATACAAAGAATGTGTTTATTTTGTATGGGTTCAGCACAACTCAGTTCCTCTTTCTCATTTTCTGAAACTTGAACTGCTCTAGTCTTACCCGTGTGTATAGACCTGGACTTTGAGGTTGGACAGACATGCAAAGGTAGGGATATAGGTGGAGTGGTACAGATTGTTTGGACAGATAGAATTCTGGGACTTGGGAAAACTAAGTTTTGTAGTTTTTGGTTTCCTGATGAAAAATTTGTAATTTCAACACATAAGCAAAATAATTAGACATCTGGCCTTGTGTTTGACAATTTATATGGTGTATTTCATCTCCTTTCGTCAGTCCTGTCAATGTTCCTATGTTATATCTTCCAAAACCCTTCTGGAAAATTAGAGAGGAGGTCATGATCACCTACAATTCTTCATGTTTATGATCATCATTTTCACCAAAATAGTGCAACTTCCTCAAAAATGTTCTCCCTGCTTCCAGGATTAGTCATCTCCAACTTTATTCTCCATATTCCAGTGGGAGTCTTCTAAAATATTCATATGAATTGTGCTGCTTTCCTGTTTACAACAGAATCAAGTCTACACTCTTTAACATGGTGTACAAGGCCACTGATTATCTAGACCTGGCTTTCTTCTTCAGTCTCATCATCCATCCCCACCCCACATTCTCTCTCCCCATCAGGTTTGTGCAAATGTTGTTTGGGATACTCTTCTCTCTTTGGAATCCCTCCTGTTTGGAATACTCTTCTCTTCTTGCCTTTGGCATCTCCTCACCACGCACGTTCTGCTAATTCCTAAACTGCTTATAGATTGTGGCTTAGCTTTGACTTTTTTCAGGATGCCTCTGCTAACCCCTAAATTCAAGGTAGGTGCTCCTCTTAGGTGCTCCAATAGTTCCCTGTACTTCCTCCAGCATAAGCATTCACAGTACAATATTGTAGCTATCTGTTTACCTGTCTTTATTCCCCATCCAACTCTAAGCTCGGAGAAGACGGGAACACTGGTAATCTCCACAATCTAGCAGAGTGACTGGCATACAGCACAGTAAAGGCTTCACAGCTAGTTGCTGAGGAATAAAATGATGCCTAAAGTAAGACTTTTCAACAAAAAATAATTAATTTAATGTTTTAGAGAGCCCTCCATGTAACTTTTGTAAATCATATTTAATCCTCTCAAAATACAAAGAACTTTGATATTTTCTTCTGTTTCTTTCAAATTTCAGTAAAAAGGCTTTAACTTAAACCCTTTGTGCTGATTTTTCTTATAAACATGCACAACTCAGAAAAGTTAAAATACACAGAATACTAAGATCAAAAGGAGATACTTTACTGGCTAAAGTGAAGAATTCTAAAGTCTGCCATGTGAAAATCTCTTCCTATCCCTAATCATAGCAAATTCAGGGCTTACTAGTTTAGGCAAATTCTGGAAAGTATTTCTACCTTATGGAGAACAAGCAGAGCCACATCTCTGTTTCAACAAGAATATGGTATGTTTGTATTAACTCTCCACATACCTTTTTTGGTTATTCTCATGAATTTTAAAGCCCTTAGAAAAAGATAACTTAATTGTATGTAATATATTATGACCCCAAAGCTCTGGATCTTAACCTAGTTTAGGAAAGCTATGATAGAAGTCCATTGACTAACTATTATTTAAAAAGCAATGACATTTTATACTATCAAGTTAAGGCTGCACAAAATATATCAAATCTGTGTGGATATAATTGTTATTCATGCTGCTCAGCAGCTTTCATTGATATGTCTTTGAATAACAAAACATTAAGAAAACACAATAACTATTTCTTAATAGAAGTACAGTTTGGTGGATAGATACTTCAAGGTATAGACTTTTCTGGGGGAGGAGAAAATAAAAGGTATTTTTAGTGGCAAAAAGCTTGAAACCACTGCTGTCTAAAATAATTCATAACAGTAAAAATGCAGATTAGTAAACGTCATAGACAAAGAGATCAGAAACTTAACATATAACTGACAAGACAAAAACATTTAACTGGGCTTCATTTAGAATAATTTATATCTGATAAATTGAATACATCAGGATTTGATGTATTAAGAGCAATTTCAAAAGATAATAAAAATAAGCTATAGCATATGTCCTGAAAACTATTTACAATACCATTTAAATATTTTATTCATATCTATCCGAATATTGACCAGGACACTAATGCCACACTGCAGAGTTAATAATCTGTGCATTTTCTTTACCGTAATGGACAGAGTATGCTTTCTTAGCTGCCTGATTCACATTTCTCTAAAAATGCTTTATCGGTTAAAGCTTTCAACCAGCTTAAAAATAATGCCTCTCCCATGTCTCCATGAGTGGAAAAAAAGCAAACAAACCTGTGTTTAACAATAAGGTCAGCATGACATACAGCAACAAGAGCCAGTAAATCGAAAATGAGGCTGACATTCTGGGACTAGGCCAGCAGTCCTGCAACAGTCTTCCAGACTCCACAGCTGCATAAGGCTGCGGACAAGCTTGGGCGCAGCCCCTGTGCCTGTGACCTGAGCTCTGCCTTGGAATGAGGTCAACTCCAAGGAGGAGAACAAACCCCTTGGTGTTTTTCTTTGCTTTGGTTATAGGATATTCAGAGAAGGTATGTATTGAATAATTTCTGCCATGAACAGCTGCTGTGTTTAACTTACTACCAACACCCCCAAATTCTTAAATTTTCTCCAGTGACAGGGTGGACAAATTATTGAAGAAAACTGTTCTTTCCTGCTTCTTTTCAGCTTTTAAGGCCACATTGATTCTAGGCCGAACTTTAGAAGTGTAGGTTCTATTAGCTCCAGCTAACTGATGGTCTGTAAGGCCTTCTTTCCTAAGTTTATTAATAAATAGGGATGTGATCCAACCTGAACTCAATAATCTAGGCCCAGTTCAGCTTGGATTCATCTTATGGATGTTGACTAATCTGGCTTGGATTATATTTTATAATATGGGTGAAGAGTCAGTTGTTTTACTGCTTTTTGTTCAATTTTGTATTTAGTAAGGACCATAGAGTGTGGAATAATGGTACATTAAATAGTCCACAGATGCTAGGGAGAAACAGAGATTGTTGTTTTCACTCAGCCATGAATAAGAAAAAAAGAAACCACAAAACCTAGGTGATGTTCTTTTCATTAAAATGATTTCATGACTTAGTGAAGTAAGGATAAGCAATTTAGGACTTGGTGAACTTTTGCTAGACTATCTGGCTATGTATTTTCTGTAAAATTTTAAGAGATGTAGAAATTTCCCACATCCAATGGCTATTGAACAGGCATACTTTGGGAAAAACAAACTTATGCCATTACTTGTCTCCTTGTCCACTTCACTTTATCAGTGGGGACCACAGTTGTTGAGCTATTGAATACAAAAATAGAGTATCTTTAAATTTGAAAAAAAATGTATGTTTTGGCAAGTTTTGAATGCTTCTTATGCACATGGCTCTGGAGTTGTAAAAGTTTTTAAAATGATTCATATTCTATCCTGACTTCTGATGTGTGAAGGATAAGTATGGATGAGAGAAACTGCTCAGGTATTCACAGCAAAAACTAAAAATGTAATAGCCATCCTTCCAAAGCAATAAAAGACAGATTAAAGCAGACATAGATTTCTTGTGGGCATTTTATATCATAACCTTCTTAGGGATAGGGATGTTTTTTGGGTTGATGACTTCATTGTAATTTCTAAACCCATTGTTCCCTTTTGTGGAATTGCTGCCATAGTAAAAATAATTTGAGCATGGGTTTTTGGAGGGGCTGTGTTCTAGTCAGGCTCTCTGTTCTAAAAAGACACTTAAAAATGTTAAAATCAGTGTCATTATTTTAAAATGTCTACAATGGAAGAGTGATAGGCTCTTTAGAACTTTGATAAAACAGGCCCTAAACTCAAAACACTGTATTTTTTCAGCAGAAGAAATTACTTGAATACTTCCAGCCCTAATTTCAAATGAATTCAACCAAATATATCATAGCACATGGTGACATAAATAAAACAGTGAGACTTTCTAGAATCCTGCTTTCACTGTAGAATATAGCTGGTGAGTTTGATAAAATTATAGCCAGAACTATGGCTTAATGAAAACAAAATAGTAGCAATTACTATTTCTGAAGGCCTGTATACGTTTTTTTTGGTTTCCATTTCTATTCATTACAAAGCACTTGGGAAAGGCAGGTTTAATCAGAGCAGTTAAATGACTTGCTTAATCTCATCCAGCTAGTAAGTGGCAGAGAAGGGGGGCACAGTCCTATGTCAGTTATCTCCACAGTGCCCATCATCAAACACATGACTATCTGTGGATAATTTAAGTTACAGGTTGACATTCCATGGCTACTTACAAGGCATAGTTTTGGCAAAAAAAATATTGTTCATCATATTTCCATATCATCTGTATAGCAATAAATTATCTTAATGTTAAATGGGAAAAAATAGCATAGCATTGCCTTATTAAAAAGTGCCACATCTTTAAACATTAAACACACACACAATTGTCACATAACTACTGATAATGGAGGTATAATGCTTTAGACTCAAATGGCTTTTCAAACCTTTTTACAGAAAATATTTTCATTAACTCAAGAATCTATTTCAGTAACCTTCAAGTATTTCCTGATATGTAACCTGTCTTCTTATGATTTAGTGTCATTTTAGAGCTACCAGAAAGAACACGACATGTAAAATGAAGATAATGGTTATGATGACTAAATAGTAATGGAGACATTAGTAGATAGGACTTTGTAGAGAAAAAGATTTAGAAATTAGGTATTTTCCATTTGGTGAAGCCATATTCTTTTTAAAAAGGTACTTTATTTTTAAAGCTTAGCCTTAAATATTAAATCCTAGTGTTTAGACATCTACATTGCAGACAGAGATCAACATCGAAGATATCAAACATTTTAACAAAAGCCAAACCTGTGGCCACCACATTCTATTCCCTCATAGTTGAGTGAAATTAGAAAATTTTAAAGTTATTATGGAAATTAAATATATGCTGGTGGAAATGATTTATATCATCAAAATATTGGTTTAATTCAAAGTAACAAGAATCAGATAATAAAATGATCACAACATCAACTGTTCCCTGAGTCCATCACTTAAGCATAAAGGGCTAATAATATTGTTTTTGTTTCTTGGGGTTTTTTTTGGATAGACCTACATTCATTTTCTTGTGTCACACAGTTCATTCTGAGAGGTGTCACTCTCACAGAGGTAGATTTCCTGTAACTATTATATTTGGGAGATGTTAAAAATACTTTTTTCTTGGGATGACATTTGTGGGGAAAATATATTGAAAGCCTTTTCAATAAGATTTAATGCAAATGAATTACTGACACATAAAGGTGTTATTTAATATTTAAAGTTAGTACCTTTGTGCTGCATGGGTATCAGTAAAATTATATGTAAATGTTTTGCACCTACCTAGTATACGTTGAGTGTACAAATATTAAAATGCCTATTTATCAGGCACTGTAATTTATACCTACTACTGGACTGTAACTTTCCTGAGTTATATGTCTTTCTTCAGCTCCAAATTCTCATAAGGCTTATTAGCACATTTTTCTTGTGCTAATACCAGGTATTCAATCAATATTTGTTGAATGAAATTAGAAATGAAGAAAGTTTTTATGCTGAGGTTTACAGTACAAAACAATTTAAGGCTACATAAACATAAGAAATAATTGTTTTGTGGAATTTTGCTTAGGGAGAGAAATAATATTCCATTCATTCAGTTTAAAAACTTAGAACAAGGAATCTAAAGTATTGTCCTTAAGACACATAAAATACACTTCTATTCTTCTATGTTATAGTCAGTAAAGGGAGAGATCTCACAAAGTAGGAAGCAAAGGTGGAAAATTTAAAAGTAATGAAGATAATTGATGGAGATAAAGCATGGGAGAAGAAAGTGATAAAGTCATGGGTACAGAAATATGCAGAAATGTAACCAAAGAATGATCGAAATCTACAGTAATACCAAGACAGAGAGAAAATGTCATTCAACTCTCAGTCAGCAAACACTATTGACCACTTTATATGGCTCCCAGACTCCCAGGAGAGTCACAATTGTAAAATAACATGCTACTGTAACTCAAATGTGCACAAAATGGCAGGTAAACTCTAGGAGAAGGCAAATTACTGCTTGGAAGACTCAGGGAAGATTTTACAGAAATGACATTTGGCTGAGTCTCGAAGGTTGAAACATGCATGGAATTTGTGTCAAAGGGGGAAAATTCTGGAAGAAATTTCATGGTAAAAAGATTTGCATGGCTGAAACATAATATGAATTCATGATAGTGGAGGATAAAGAGGAGAAAGGTATGTGAATTGATACCTCCCTCCTCCTCCTCTCCCTTTCTTCTTTCCTTTGATTTGAAAAGATGTTAATAAGCTCTGACCCAAAGGAGCAATTGGCAGGAAAGATATTTTACTACTTTCAAAGGTGAGAGAATTGAGAATCAGTAAGAGTGACTAACTTTCAGCATGCCACAGTTGGTAAGGAGTACAGTTAGGCCATAATCTTCTGATTTCTTATGTCCACTCGCAATACCTCATTAGAGGACAATTCTCTCCCCAAAAAAGGTTATTTTAAAAACCTACAAAACCCACAATACTATTTGCATAATGATATGAATCTACTTATTAACTTCCTAAGAGATTTGTGTTTCCAATCTGGAAAATGGTCTTAACATATGAGTTGTTTTGCCTAGTTTGAAGAACATCAATCTATTTTAGTGGTTTTAAACTCTTTCTACATTTTTTGCATTAAAAATACTTTTGAAAATCTGAGGAAAGTTATGAATTTCCTCCTCACACAAATATATATAGACAAAATTTTGCATACCATTTTAAAGGTTCATTTTTGGAAATATAATTGACACAAAGGGAGTTACCTAGAAATAACATATAATAGCTTTGTGTTATTACATGTAAGATTTTTTCTCTTAAGTCGATGATTTGTTAGATGCAAAAGTTAAAAATCCTCACCTACATGGTATGAAATAATATGGATAAGATAGTTTACTTTAACAATTTTAGTACTTTTTCAATCTTGTAAATTCTTCAAGAAAATATGGGTAAACAAAACAGTTAAACATTCTAATTATACTTTATAAAAGAAAATAATTAGAACCTCACAATTTTTCTTTTAAATTTACACACTATGATGTTATAAATGTAAGGCTTTCAGAAGAACATTATAAAAACTCAAGACCTCATAATCCTGACCAAAACAAAAAGACATACCACAAAATTTAATTCTTTAAAAGAAAAAGATGACATTCACTTTTTATGAAAGAGAAGGGGTTTCACCATCCCTGCCAATATCTTGGGTAATTGTGCAGCAATAACTTCAGACATCATTTCTGGAAATTCAACACTCAGTGCCCGGGACTGGATAAATGTATTCAAGCAGTACAGATGAAGTTGTTTGACAAGCTGTTGGTTTAACAAATGAGTAGAAAACATGTAATAAAAATAATAAATTCATATGCTATTCAAACATGGCAATTTATTTTTCTAACTATTTATAATATAAATACTTCTCAAGGTGTTTTTTTCTTACCATAGTGAAAATAACTCCCACCATTTTCTAGAATAATATGTAAAATGTTATATACTCATGATAGAACATTCTGATATTATGGAAAGATTTATTTAAAGAAATGAAAGTTATTCACAATTCTACAGGATAAGCTGTGTGAACATTTTGGTGTATTACTCAAGTTTTTTTTTCTTTTTATACATGTATACAGACATACCCAAGCATACACACAATATTACACATGTTTCATAAATTCTATTTGCTAATCTAGCTGTTTTATATAACAACATATTGGTTCTTCCTATGCCAATAATCCAACATCGTTTAATTTTTATCAAAGTAATTCATGTGTATAATGTTGAAAGTCAAGTAGTACCACATGATTATAAAAACAAAAACAGCAGCAGCAGCAGCATCAATAGAGCCTAGCAGTTTCCTGATAGACTTCTTCCCATCCCTATTCCAGCTCCCTAGACACAACTACCTTCAACTTTTTGTAGCCTGTGTCTTTTGATATTTCTATATTTCCACTAAAGTTAGTTTTAGTTTCTACTATAGGAAATGAAGAAAATGAAGCTCTCTTATACTAGACACTCTCTTCCTCAACTACATACATGTTCTCTTCTCCCCAGAGAGAGCTTTTGGCTCAATTTTTAGCTAAAGTCAATATCCAGCATTTATATCATAAAGATTTTTTTATGGTTTTCTGCTGGATTGCATCTCCATTCTTACGACTTATTTTTATTTTGCAAAAGTGAATCACCTCGTGTTCTTGTTTGCTTTGTTTTCTCTATATTTGTCTCAAAGCCATAGTCAAATTCTGCAACAGAATTGTAAAAATCACCTCAATTACAGTCATACTTAGTGGTAATCTCTCAGTTCCATTTATTTTTCCTGGAGCTGGTATCCTAGAACCCTTTGTATTACTGCTCCCATCTAGACTAACTACTGCTCTGCACAGTTATTGTTCTGGGACATCACTTTGCATCTCTGTTGGGGTGGATCTTTGGCTTAATCCCATGTTTTGTTATAAGACATCCTGTAGCAGTTCTTGAGAAAGTTGTATCTGAGGTAAACTCTAGGAGACCTTGCAAGTTGGAAAATACTTTCATGCTGCCATTGTACTTGTTTGATGGTTTGGCTAGGTATGAAATTCTTTGAAGATTTTCTTTTCCATCAAATTCTGAAGGCACTGCTCCACTGTCTTCTGGCTTCCAGTGTTGCTGCAGAGAAGTCCAACATCATTCTGAATCCTGATAACGTCTATGTGACCTGTTTCTTTCATCACTGGTATACTTTAAAATATTCTCTTCATTTCTGGCCTGGTACAATTTTACAATAATGTACCTTAGTTCAATTGTGCAGTGCCTCTACACCGGACCCTTTTTGTTAGAAAACTTGTATGTTTCAGTTCCAGCAACTTTTGCGATTTCTTACACAAATTTCTCTCCTTGATTTTCTCTATTTTTTCTTCTGGACATTCCTATTAATTGGAGGCTAGAATCTCCTGAATACTAAATTTACTATAACTCTTCTTTCTAATTTTCCATGTTTTGATCTTTTATTTTTCCTCAGATTTTCCTTTCCATTTCAGCCCTTTCATTGAATTTTCAATTTCTGCCTTTCTTCATTTAATTATCCAAAAGTATTTTCTTGCTAAATGTCTGTTTTAAAAATGTTTTCTGTTCTCATGTCATGGATACCGTATCATTCTTATTTCTCTGAGGATGTTAGAAGTTTTCTTCTGTTCTCTGCACTGGTGTTTATTTCCTTCAAGTTTCTTTTTATTTTGCTTTCTGCCTTTCATTTTAGAGGCTTTACTCAAATAGCTCATAATCTTGGCTGTCTGTTCGTATTCAGGAGTAAGACCTCAAAAGTTGACCTGGAGAGTGGATAGCTTTTTTATGCCTTCACTGTCATTTTAATGTGATCTGAACATAGTAGCAATAAAAGCTTGTATTTCATATATCTTGACAAACCACAGATATCTTGTCTTAGTAATCCACCTCTGGTGTTGGGCATTTCTTGTTTGCTTTTCTTTTTTCCCCCTCTGCTATGGTGAACATCCTTGCATGTATATTACATTTGTCTAATTATTTCTTTAAGATAAATCCTAAAAAATAGAAACTTGAAAAGCATGCAAATTTTAACTTTTGCTATGTATTGCCTGATTGCCCACCCATCAGCAATGTTATTTATAATTCCACTGAAAATGGCATGAGTCTTATTTTTCACATACATACCTTTGTTTTTACTGTATATATAAAATCTTTTATAATTTTAGGCACAAATATTTTAGAACATATTCAGGAAATGTACCATAATTTCTATCAGCTATTAAATTACCCTCACATTATACAAATACTTGTAAAAGAATATTTGAGTGGTCTATATTGAAAATGAAAAAAAAACACAATAAAAAGTCTGAGCAGCATGATCCAAACACTTTTAACATACAAGTATTAATCTGAGAAAATCATACAAAGTAAAATTTACATGTAACATTTAAAAAGTTATAGAAATTCAGAGAATAATCATTGATATTCTGGAATCAACCAAATACTTACATCATGCAAGTTATCAAGAAGTTTTGTAAGTTGATAGAAACGCTGTGAGCTCGACACAACTCCTTTTTGCCTCAAACCAATTGCCTTGATGAGCTCTCTAATGTAGCTTGACCTCATCTCCTCAAACTGGGTTTGACTTCGTAGCCCTTCCAAAGGAACTGTTAAGAAGACAATTAAAAGTGGCAGTTGTGTATAAAAAGATGACATTAACAATTTATAACATATATTTCTGAGCTATATAATGATTTCTTCTGATACATGACTCTAGAAAAAAAACACCTTATATAGGAAAGAGATAGTGTTATTGATATCACTATCAATATCAGGACATATAAACTTCTAGTTCACTGGAAGAACATAAGAATTAATAGGTATATTAAAGAACACTTCAGCTGACCTATTTTAGACCTGTATCAATGGATTGTGCATTTAACTTAGCATTTGCTCAAAAGAGAACCTGGCCTTATTCTACATGCTTCTTAAATACTTGGTTTGACTTAGTTTACAGCTGCATGTAATCTGGATCTTTTTTTTCCCTTCTTTTTAATGAATACTTGGATCTCTTAGTAAACTTTTGTCTTCTTTATATAAATCTCAAGTATTTGCCATTAAGATTATTCCTAGATGATTTATCTTTTTGTTGTAATTTTAAAAATTGCTTCATTAAGTTTTCTAATGCCTTCCTGCTGATATGGGAGAAAGGTATTAATATTTAAATATTTATCTTATATCCAGCCACTTTGTTACACAGGCATATCTTGGAGATATAGCCGGTTTGGTTCCAGACCACGGCAATGAAGGAAATATTGCAACAAAGTGAATCACATGCATCTTTTTGTTTCCCAGTCCACGTAGAAGTTATATTTACACTATACTAGAATGTATTAAGTGTGCAACAGCATTATTTAAAAAGTGAACACACCTTAACTAAAAAACACTTTATTGCTAGAAAATGGTAACAATCATCTGAGTCTTCCCTGAGTCAAAATCTTTTTGCTGTTGGAGGGTGTTGTCTAAATGTTGATGGCTGCTGATTGGCCAGGGTGGTGGTTGCTGAAGGTTGGGGTGGCTATGACAGTTTCTCAAAATAAGGCAACAATGAAGTTTGCTGCATCAGTTGACTCTTTTGTGAATAATTTTTCTGTAGCATGCAATGCTAGCAGTTTGATGGCAATTTACCCACAATAGAACTTCTTTCATAATTGGAGTCAATCCTCTTAAGTCCTGCTGCTGCATTATCAACTAAGTTTATGTAATCTCCGAAATCCTTTGTTGTCACTTCAATAATCTTCATAGCATCTTCACTAGAAGTAGATTCCAACTCAAGAAACCACTTTCTTTGCTCATCCATAAGAAACAACTCCTCATCTTTCAAGTTTTACCACGAAACCTCTTCAATTCAGTCATGTCTTCAGGCTTTACTTCTAATTTTAGTTCTCTTGCTCTTTTCACATATCTGTAGTTATTTCCTCCACTGAAGTTTTGAACACCCTCAAAGTCATGCAAGAGGGATGAAATAAACTTCTTCCAAACTCTTGTTAATGTTGCTATTTTCACCTTCTCCCATGAATCACGAATGTTCTTAATGGCATCTAGAAAGGTGAATCCTTTCTAGAAGGTTTTCAATTTACTTTACCCAGATCCATCAGAGGAAACACTATCTATGGCAGCCACAGCTTTACAAAATATATTTCTTAAATAATAAGACATGAAAGTGGAAAATTACTCTTTGATCTATGAACTACAGAATGAATGTTGTGTTAGCAGAAATGAAAACATTAATCTCCTTGTATATATCCATAAGAGCTCTTGGCTGACTAGGTGCATTGTCAATGAGCAATAATATTTGAAAGTAGTATTCTTTTCTGAGCAGTAAGTCTCAATAGTGGGTCAAAATATTCAGTAAACCATGCCATAAATAGATGTGCTGTCATCCAGCTTTGTTGTTCCATTCATAAACCACAGGCAGAACAGATTGAGCGTAATTCTTAAAGGCCTTAGGATCTTCAGAATGATAAATGAGCATTAGCTTCAGCTTCAAGTCACCAGCTTCAGCTTCAAGTCACCAGCTTCATTAGCCCCTAACAAGAGAGTCAACCTGTCATTTGAAGCTTTGAAGACAGACATTGACTTGTTCTCTGTAGCTATGAAAGTCCTAGATGACATCTTCTTCCAGTGGAAAGCTGTTTTATCTACCCTGAAAACCTGTTTTTTAGCACAGCTACTTTCATAAGTAGCGATAATCTTACCTAGATCTTCTGGGTAACTTGCTGCAGCTTCTGCATCAGCACTTGCTGCTTCACCTTATACTTTGTTATGGAAATGGCTTCTTAAATCTCATGAACCAACTTCTGCTAGCTTCAAACTTTTTTCTGCTCCTTCCTTACATCTCTTTGCCTTCCTAGTATTGAGGAGAATCAGGGCCTTCCTCTGGATGAGGCTTAGGCTTAAGGGAATATTGTGGCTGGTTTGATCTTCTATTCAGACCACTAAAACTTTCTCCATATCAGCAATAAGGCGGTTTTGCTTATCATTCATGTGTTCACTGGAATGGCACTTTTAAAGTCCTTCAAGAACTCTTACTTTGTATTTGAAACTTGGCTAGTTGCTTGGCTCAGGAGACCTAGTTTTCAACCTATATCAACTTTTGACATGCCTTCCTAATTAAGCTTAATCATTTCTACCTCAGACTTGCAACTCTTTCTTTTACTGGAACACTGAGAGGCCATTCCAAGATTGTTAGTTGGCCTAATTGCTTTTTTTTTTTTTTTTTTTTTTTTGACACAGGGTCTTGCTCTGTCGCCCAGGCTGGAGTTCAGTGGCACAATCTCAGGTCACTGCAACCTCCGCCTCCCATGTTCAAGCAATTCTCCCGCCTCAGCCTCCTGAGTAGCTAGGATTACAAGTGTGTGCCATCATGTCCGACTAATTTTTGTCTTTTTGGTAGAGATGGGGTTTCACTATATTGGCCAGGCTGGTCTTGAACTCCTCACCTCAAGTGATTCGCCCACCTCAGCTTCCCAAAGTGCTGGAATTACGGGCTTGAGCCACCATGCCCAGCCTTGGCCTAATTCCAATATTGTTGTATCTCAGGGAACAGGGAGGAAAATTACTATTTCTTAAGCCTGTATTTATCCCCTGCACCCCAATCAAAACTTGGTTTCCATTTCCCCTAGAAAAGAAGGCCAGAGATACAAACTTATGAAAAACAAATAAGTTAATTCTTTGGTTTTGAGTTTTCAAGATCTTGTATATAAAGGAGACTCTGAAGAGTAATTCTGGCAATTCAGTATATCTATGCAAATTTTTGTCAATTGAAAACTTAACTCTAGTATGTACATCTATATGTATATCTAGAACCTCTTTTTATTAAATTTGTATAAATTTAATGACCATCTGTGCAGTTTTGTTACATGAATATATTGCATAGTGGTGAAATCTGAGCTTTTGGTATAACCATCACCCAATAATGCACATTGTATCCATTAGGTAATGTCTCACCCCCCTCCTACCTTTCCAGCCTTCTAAGGCACCACTGTCAATTATTCTATACTCTATGCCCATGTACATGCATTATTTAGCTCCCACTTATAAGCGAGAACATGTGGTATCTGACTTTGTCTCTGAATTGTTTCACTTAAGATAATGACTTCCTGTTCCATCCATGTTGCTGCAAAAGACACACTTTCATTCTTTTTGATTGCTGAATACTATTCCATTTTGTGTGTGTGTGTGTGTGTGTGTGTGTGTGTATGTATGTATATGTGTGAGTACATCACATTTTCTTTATCCTATTATCTGTTGATACACACTTGGATTGATTTCCTATCTTTGCTATAGTGAATACTGCTGTAATAAACAAGAGTGCAGGTGTCTTTTTGACATAATGATTTCTTTTCCTTTGGGTAGATATCCAGTGGTGGGATTGCTAGATAGAATGGTAGTTATATTTATAGTTTTTTGAGAAATCTCCATATGGTGTTCCATAGAGGCTGTACTAATTTTCTGGACTACTTCAAATAGCAGTCATTTCAAACTTTCACAGCTCTCTTTAAGGTTACCAACCAATCCCTATATTTCCCTCAGCTGTAAACATGAATGTAAAATCATTTTTTCTTAATTTTTCATAGTAAATCCCTTTACTAAGATTTTAGTGTAATTTATTTATTTTTATTTATTTATTTATTTATTTTTATTTTGAGACATGGTCTCACTCAATCACCCAGGCAGGAGTACAGTGGCACAATCATGGCTCACTGCAGCCTCGACTTCCTAGGTTGAGGTGATCCTCCCACCTCAGTTTCCCGGCTACCTGGGACTACAGGCACTTGCCACTACGCCTGGCTAATTTTTTTTTTTTTTTTTTTTTTTTTTTTTTTTTTTTTTTTTTTTAGAGACGGGGTTTTCCAAGTTGCCTAGGCTGGTCTCAAACTCCTGGGTTCAAGCCATCTGCCCAGCTTGCCCTCCCAAAGTGTGATTAGAAATGTGACCGACTACATCTGGCCTTTAGTGTAATTTTGGAGAGAACAATGTAAAAATGTTTGTTCAACCTACTGTCTATTCCTGGAGATTTATATTTTCATATTTAATGGCAAATGAGAGGTTTAAGTTCATAACTACCAAATTATCAAAGTTTTACTTTGCCAATCTTCTCCTTGCATTTATTTTATAAAAGGTATTTGAGATTGAAGATTATTTCTATTTCTTCTAGCTTGTTTTTTAATTATTTGAGTGTTTACATTTAACTCAATTATCTGTTATTCAAGGATATAATTTGAGCTACATATCCAAACAGTTTTTTTCCAAATATAAAACTATTTTTCTTAACATTTATTTGTTTCAGACTCATTGATTTGTGGTTTCCACTATACTATTTATATTCTAATATATACTTGTCTGATTTGCCCAAAAGTTCAGTATATCTCTTCTCCCATGCTGTATTAATTAACAGCAGCTTTCTAATTCCCTGCATATTTTTATAATGCTTATCTATTTATTCTTCTAGTTTTAAAGATGGATTTTCAGTAGGTTTGTCAAGTTCACCCTCTTCTCCCCAAATCTCATTAGAATCTTGATTAGAATTTGTGGAAAGCGTAAGTACTATTCATTAAATAGTTTCTTTTTCTTCCTTTTTGTGAAGTGGCAAATGGCTAAAAATCTTACTCTCTATGGTATGTGAGTGGAAGTTGTATGAATCTCACTTCCTTTTCTTACCACTGCTCTAGTGATCGCCTAAGTTTCTAAGTGACAACAATGAGCAAAGCCTCCCTGTTGATTAATTCCATTGTTGTTTAATTCCCCAGCATAATGTTGCCTATCCATAAATAGAGAATTATGTTAAGGATATAAGCCAGTTTGGAAGATCTAGGACTATCTGTGACATAAGTGCTATAGGATTCATTCCTTCATGCAAAGAAGGGCAGGAGCTAATTACTGTATTATTAAATGTATTCCAGTTGACTCTCTGGGCCGGTTCCACGTAAATATCCTTTGTTCAATTGATGCTCTGTCACCAAATTAGCCTTGAAATTCCTTGTCCAAATAGGGTTCCCAAGATGGTTATGTATTCATCCCTGTCTTTGCATAAATTCTATGAGGAAGCCTTCCATTTCAGGGTTTATCTCTCCTGCCCTTCCCTCCTGATCTGCACCCCCTAGCCATTTGAGATTTGGGACCTTAGAAAGAAGTCCCTGTAAAGATGTTGCCAAGAAAGACCTTAGGCTCACCCTCGGCCTGAGGTCTTAGCTCCCTGTGGTTGTCATAGAAATCACAATGAATCACAAAAGCATCAGTTTGTACATTTGAGGGCTGATCCTGCCTATGCAAGGGTCAAAGCAGCTGCTTTTTCTTTTTTTTAAAACTTTGCCCACCCAGACCCTTGGGGATCCACTGAGGCAGAGGTAAGTATGTTCCTTGGATATAAGAAAAAGTGGAACGGATATTTGCCTGTCCTTCTGGTGATCAATGCAATGCTTTATAAAACATAATTTCCTCTTTCTTCTGGGCCTATAGCTAGACTGTATTTCCCAGCTTTTCCTGCAGCTTAAGTGCCTTGGAATGTGGGTGAAAGTGATGTATGATAGTTTCAGATCTAGCCTTCAAAATCTCTCTCACTCAGTGCTCATTTCTAGTCATGTCCAATAGAGGTTTGCAAGCCACTAGGAAGGGGTGAAGCCACTGGCTAGAAGGAGCCTGGGTGTTTCTTGCTAACTCACTGGACTGTGTCAGTGATAAAGAAACCACTATTATATTAAGATGCTAATCTTTATAGTTACATGTTTTAACAATTTATCTTGATAAAAATAATTCTAAACAAAATTATGTATTTTATATAGTAAATACTTTGGGGATGGGGTGAGAGTGGTGGTAGAGGAGAGTATGGTTTGTGCTTATCCAATATTAATTGCAGTCGTGTATCACTTAATGATGGGGATATATTCTGAGAAATGTGTCCTTATGTGATTTCATCACTGTGTGATTATCACAGAGTGTACTCACACAAACCTAGATGGTATAGACTACTATACACCTAGGCCTTATTCCTAGGCTATGAACCTGTACAGCATGTGATTACTGAATACTGTAGGCAGCTGTAACACAATGGTAAGTGTTTTGTATCTAAACACAGAAGAGGCATAGTAAAAATCCAATATAAAAGATACGAATGGGACACTTGCATAGGGGACTTAACATGAATGGAACTTGCAGGACTGGAAGTTGCTCTGCGTGAGTCAGCGAGTGAGTGGTGACAGAATGTGAAGGCCTAGGACATTACTATACACTACGATAGCCTTTATAAACACTGTACACTTAGGCTACACTACATTTATAAAAATATTTTTATTTCTTTTATAATAAATTAGCTTTACCTTACCGTAACTTTTTTACTTTATAAACTCTAGTTTTTTAACTTTTTGACTCTTTTGTAATAACATTTAGTTAAAAACAAAAACACAAGGTACAGTTCTCTTTCTTTCTTTTTTTAGAGACAAGTTCTCACATGTTGCTTAGGCTGGACTTAAAACTCCTGGGCTCAAGTGATCCTCTCACCTCAGCCTCCCAAGTAGTGGGGACTACAGGCACATGCCACCGTGCCTGGCTTTCTTTCTCTATATCTTTATTCTATAAACTTTATCTATTTTTAAATATTTTCTTTTTTGCTTAAACTTTTTTTAAAAAAACTAATACCCAAAACACACATTAGCCTAGACCTACACAGAGTCAGAATCATCAATATCACTGTCATCCACCCCAACATCTTATCTCACTGGAAGGTCTTCAGGGGGCAGTAACACACACGGAGTTGTCATCTCCCAGGGTGACGTATGCCCTTTTCTGGAATCCCTCTGACAGACCTGCCTGAGGCTGTTTTGCGGTTAACTTAAAAAAAGTAGAAGTAGTGACTCTCAATAGAAAAGTATACTACAGTAAATACATAAACCAGTAAGAGTTTTTTATTATCTTTACCAAGTACTATGTACTGTACATAATTGTATGTGCTATACTTTATATGACTGGCAGCACAGTAGGTTTGTTTACATTAGTATCACCACGAACATGTGATTAGTGCATTGTGCTATGATGTTATGGTGGCTATAACAGGACTAGGCGATGATAATTTTTCAGCTCCACTATCATCTTAGGGAACCATTGTATATGTGGTCTGTTGTTGACCAAAATATTATTATGTGGCACATGACTGTAGTTTATATTACTGAATTAGGTGAATATGAAAGAGTAATTAAATCATTTTATCTAAAATAAAAAGAAATTGATGAGGCTATTTTAGTATTATATGGTAGGTAAAAGATGAAAAAATCCAGTAATTTTATTAATGTCTATAACAATATATTGGGTATTTCTTCTTTATACTTATAATCCAAGACGTCTACCTCATACATAACTATATAATCATATTGTTTGCAACTTTTCTAATGAATTAAGAAACTAGATATCTTGCATTAAGTTACTTGAACTCACTCACTTGTATTAAGAAGTAACAATACTTTCATACAGAGGAACTCTTCTTGGCTAACTTGAAGCTTGACAAACTCCTGTGGGATCTGCCACATGGTAAGGCATAATGAATAGAATGATGATTCTTTCATCCGCTGTCTTGCATCACACACAATACACAAAAGAAAAAGCAACAGGAAAAAAAATAGTGTCTCAGCCAGTTTAGGTAATTTATCAGGGAATATGGTTTTGGTAATTACCTTACATATTATTGAAAATGACTACTACTTTTAATAAACAAACCCAATATTTGGAATTTTAAACATCTTCTAAACTTTTCACAATACTGAATTTTTGAGGTTAAGAAATCTTAAAACTAGAAAATTATATTAAATACACAGTGACCAAGATTAACATTGTTTCTCACTTTTATTATCACACTTTAAATACCTAAACCAAGAAAACACAGCAGAGGTGTAGGAGTTGAGAATGTGAAGCTGAAGAATGCTCAGAAATGTTTTATTTACTTACAATTTATTTTCTATGAAAAATTATATAATTTTGTGTGCAATTAAATAGGAGAAGTCAGTTCACAAAGCTTACCATATTTTAAACTTTTCTAGGGAAATATACAATGATACAGAAAAGAGTAAAAGAGGACATTGGCAAGCATTAATTAATTGACAAAGTTAAACACAAGTGCTGAAGGCTGAGAAAATTTAATTAAGGCATTTTCCCAACCTTGTGTTGTTTTATAATGTCCACATTAGTCAAATGAAGCTAACAAGAATAATGAAAACTAGATTTTGGCTAAAAAGAGATAAGGAATCTCACTGTCATTCAAATTATTTGGCAGATTATATAATTCTCCTGAGACTCAGTTTTCTAAACTGTACAATGAAGAATGCTGATTCCTTACTTATCTCAAGGAATTGTTGGATAAAATGTAATGAAACATGAAAATTATCTAAAAACTGTAAAGACTTATATAAGTGTGAGTTATATACTTCTAAGTCAGCATTTACCACTAGAACAATATAAATATTACCATGAAAAGATTCTTATTCAGTTAAAGGTTGTAGGTAGAAAATTAATTAAAATTATTTAAATATAAAGCAAATTGAAATATTTATCTTTCAATTTTTTAAATAAATTAGCAGTCTAATTTGTCATGTATGAAGAAAGATGTTTTTACTTTTTGAATGTAAGTCAGTAACAAAAATATTTCTCATTTATTATTGTCATTAGTACCAAGCTATGAAATTTTAAATTGATTAATGAAACATTTAAGTTTATCTTTAAATATATTTCTTGATACATTCTTGATGTGTAAGAAAATTGGATTTGATATAACTATATTTTGAAACAAGAGGAAAAAGCTCCAAATATAAAATTACCGTAAAATGACAGTAATGTCATCATATCAAGAACACTAAATATGTGATCATCTATTGAAATATAACTTTCAAAATTATCCTACATGTACACTTAAAATAACAAAAACAACAAAAGTTACTACTTACTCATTTAGTATTAGATCAGGTGCAAAATACAGCATCTGCCCACTGACGTGTTTGTAGGATCTCCATCCTAGACCAAACACCATTAAGCTCATCCAAGAATACTGAATGAGAGTTATCTGGTCATCAATATGTAAGTTTCGAAAACCTACAAAACAAATTTAAAAATACAGTGACCATAAAAATGACTGAATTATCTCAAAAATGTTGAAAATACATATAAATCTGAAAATAGGTATGCGTAGGGTAATAAAATGTTTTCAATCCCAACATATTTTACACTGAAAATCAGAAAACATTAATAAATAATACAGCCTAAAATATCAGCAACTTTGGAAGTCACTTGAAATTAGTCACTGTGATTTAGCATTTCTGGGATTTTGCTAAGTGAATCCATCATCCATCACTCATTCATGCAACACCCATTTAATAAGAACCATTTGGGTGCCAGGCACTGTATAAAAATGAAGATGAGTAAGAGTCAATCCTAGCCTCAAAAGCAGCTCACAACTCAACAGGAGAAACAAGCACATGAGTGCTGGGGTAGAGAAGGTTAAAAGGGAGTGTATCAGTCAATCGGGAGGGAGGTCAGGAAAAACTTTCTAGAAAAAAAGAGAGATAATGCCTGAATGGAATATAATCAGTTCGTTAAATCTCAGTTCTTTGGGATTTAAACATAAACTGGTCTTACTTTGTAAAACCACTGCTTTCAGTTGTGTTATATCTAATTTTCTTTTAACAACCCTTAACTATGTCGGGTAGATTCCACAGTCATCAGGTCACTTTCGTTCTCTGAAACTTAATCCAGTCTTGTTTTAAACTTCCGTGTGGCTTAAGAGATTTAGAATCTGTGTGTGTGTGTGTGTGTGTGTGTGTGTGTGTGTGTGTGTGTGTGTGTGTATTGGGGGGTATGGTGTGAATGCTTTGGTCTTTCATCCTCTTTTAGGCTGTTCCATGGTGTTGGTGGCAGAAGGATGGCAGGGAAAGGGCAAATGAATCTTGACTTAATCATCACAAGTCTCTCCATGTCTTCCCAATTCTCAAGGGAAGATCACCAGTTCAACAATGAGTAACTTAAAGGTGGGAGAAGCAAAGATGTGTTTAGAGATGTAGGCTGGGTCAGATCATCCAAGGTCTTGCAAGTCTATTAAGGAGCAATGGGAGTGACATAGCCTTGCATTGTAGATGGATCATTCTTAGCTATGTGGTAGGTGGATTCAAGGGAATAAGTCTGGAGTTAGGGAGGACAGTTGGGAGATACTGTCAAAGCCCAGGTGAGAGATGATAAAAGCCTGAAGTAAGTCAAGTCAACACATTGGAATTAAGAGGAGAGAGTGCATCAGAAAAATATTTAAAGGGAAAAATAAAAGACATTTGTCAACTGATTGCCGGTAGATGGGAAGAAGAAGGAATCAAATACATCTTTCAGTATTTGTCTTGAAGGGTAGATGATGATAACAGCATTGCTGAGATAAAATAAAGGAGAAGAAACTTGCTAGGGAGAAAATAGTTTTGGATAGGATTCAGGGGTCAACATCCTGGTATCAGCTGCACATATGAATTAGAAGTATGGGGAGATATATGGGCTAAAAATATTAATATAAATTTGAAAGTTATTTGTATCTGAGTATAACTGAAATGATGAAAATGGAGAATTTTTAAAATTAAAGGTATGGAGACAATGTTTTGCTGAGAACATCAACCACTTTCTATAAAGCTGTTTTAAAAACATCTATTTTCTCTAAAAATCCACTGATGTTCTTACAAATAATCTGTTTCAAAAGTAAAACCAAAGCAAAACTTAATTCATTAGCTATCAAGAGCAAAAGAAAGTTATTTCCTGACAATGTTAATCATGTCAAGGTAGGTAGCAAAAAAGAAGGCTCTTCTCTTCATACACTTCAGATCGTCCCATCTTCATGTGAATAGTAGAAAAATTGCTACTCTCTTCTTAGAACTCCTTAGCCTCAATAAGACCAAAAACTCAAATGCATATTCATAATTAGAGATGCCATAGTGAGCATTTACCTTTTACTGAGAAGGGATGCTCTTCAATGTCTAACCTTTTCTCCTTCCCACCTTTCCTCCCTCCCCTTCTCCCTCCTTTCTTCCCTCCCCTTCTCCCTTTCTTCCCTCCCCTTCTCCCTTTCTTCCCTCCCCTTCTCCCTTTCTTCCCTCCCCTTCTCCCTCCTTTCTTCCCTCCCCTTCTTCCTCCTTTCTTCCCTCCCCTTTTCCCTCCTTTCTTTCTTCCCCTTCTCCCTCCTTTCTTCTCTCACTCCCTTCCTCCCTCCCTCCTTTCTTCCTTCCCTCTCTTTCTTCCTTTCCTCTTTTTCCTCCTCCTCCCTCACTGCTCCCTAATACCTTCCTGCTTTCCTTCTTTCCTTCCCTCCTTCCTTCCTCCCCTCCTTCCTTTCTCTGTGTGGGCAGAGTTCCCCATTGGTTGTAGTTTTTGCGAGAGCAAATGCCTTACCTTCCTACTTTCCCACGGAGAAAGCTGGGTAAACCTCCTCCTTCTTTGGGCTTGGGGCATAGGTTTGGCCCATGGAACATATACTAACAGGAATTTGAATCAGAAAATACTAAAGCAAAGAGAAAGATATGACTATTTATTCTTGATGTTGGTGGTGTCCAGATAATGAGAACCAATGGGAGGATTTGTGATGCTTGCTTTTTAGCCCTTCAGATGTGCCTTGGCTTCTGCCCATATTCTAAGCTTGTCCTCTAGCTTCTATTCAGTGAACCCCTGTTGTCCTCTCAGTAAATTATTTTTTTTCTTTTTCTTTTGTTTTTAAAAGTCAGGGTTTTTTGTTGTTGCTTGTGTGTTTTATAATTAACATAGTTTATTTTTAATACTGGCATCCAAGAATCCTGGTTTACTCAGGTGCAGAAAGACTCTCTAACTAAGCAGCCAAAAAAATTTTTGGTATGCAAGTTTTATCATTTTTTAATTTGCATATGACTTGAACGTGTCTTCAAGTATAGGTCTACATAATAACTTTTTAAGAAAATTATAAAGCTCAATACAATAAATCTAATACATAAATGCTGCTTGTAAGTCAAATATTTAAGAGACTATAAAAATGGGTAATTTTGTGATAAAATTTAGAATCATTTGACAAGAGATCAATGAATTGTCTTAATTTTTGAAAAGGAAGCCTTTCTAAAGGGAGGCACATATAAACCTCCCTATTGCTGATCTGTCTCAACAAATTGGAAGGCATTCAGGACAGAAGACCCAAGTTCCAGTCCTGGCTCTACCACTTACTAACAGCCACTTTGGAAACATCACTTATTATCATTGAATCTAAATTTCTTCATAAGTAAAAATCACAATTCACAATGATAACTAACTCAGTGAGTTGCTATGAGACAAATGGGATAATTATGCACACTGTAGAACACTATGGAGATATTTATTATTGGTCTATCAATGCAACAGAATTGCTCATTGGAGTAATACTAGTATGAAATCCACCAGTCAGTTTAATGGGAAGTCTCTAATACTAAAACACAATGCCATAAAAAAAAGTGTTAGGAGGCATTTTATATATTATAGAACATATAAGATAGAACTGAAGTATAAAAAATAATGGTGAAAAAATTTTAAAGATAAATTATGTGTTTGTTCTGGAATATATATTTTCCAGAATATATATTTTATGTGTGTTGTTATATATAACAAATTATATATTTCATATAATACAAAAAAATGGGCTGGGCGCAGTGGCTCACGCCTGTAATCCCAGCACTTTGGGAGGCCGAGGTGGGTGGATCACAAGGTCAAGAGATTGAGACCATCTTGGCCAGCATGGTAAAACCCTGTCTCTACTAAAAATACAAAAATTAGCTAGGTGTGGTGGTGTATGCCTGTAGTCTCATCAGCTACTTGGGAGGATGAGGCAGGAGAATGGTTTGAACCCAGGAGGCTGAGGTTGCAGTGAGCCAAGAACGTGCCACTGCACTCCAGCCTGGTGACACAGCGAGACTCCATCTCAAAAAAAAAAAAAAAAAAAAAAAAAAAAAGGCTCATAGAAAGTTCGTTTTCATTAATCAGATGTATTAAAACATTAACCAAGTGTTCACAATAATCTCCACAAATACATTTATTATTCTCTATATCTTTCTTGGTGAACTTTATAACTTTCTAAAAAAAGTATTTTATAATATTTAAATATTTGACTTAACTATGCTGTAATTTTTCACTTCAGGCATTTGTTTTATGTTAACCTTTGAGTAGTTTTAAACATTTAAACATTTTACAAAATTATGTAAGAATTAAATTGTTCTTTATCCAAAAACAGATCCTGTCTACATTTACATGTTTACATTCACTTTATCCTACTCTTAGTTTTTGTTTTCGTCTTTTTGCTTTTTTCTTTGTTTTTGCATTCTGGGACTAGAAATCCAGGCTTACTTTTATTTTATGACAACATTAAAGGCAAATCTTATTACAATAACTTTAAATTTATAAAATTACCAATATTTATAGCAGAAACTATATTTCTGTTTGTTTGACAGAATGGAATAGAACTCAGAAAATAACCTTTATTTACTCCACCTTTTACAGTGCTTATCTGTGATAAATGTACAATGTTAAATTGACTTGAACATGCCTAGTATAGAAATGCTATTTTTTTCCTTATTAACTGTAATATCATTCATTACTTTATGCTGAAACAAAGATGGGAACACAGAGATTAAATTCCCAGTGATGATAATGATCAGGTAAACTTAGTACATTTGAGATGACCAAAATGAAAAACCTTCACATGGAGAAGTGATGGATTATCACTAATTGTGTTTAACAAATGTTAAAAAAAAAAACACTTTTCCTTTTAAGTGACTTGACCTGATAATTTCTGACAAAAGCCCTGTTACAGCTGTCCAAATTTAGCTTAAAGAATTAACAGAAAGTATATAGTGAAGAGATGGCCTGGGGCTGGGTGTGGTGGCTCATGCCCGTAGTCCCAGTGCTTTGGGAGGCGAGGCAGGAGAGTCACTTGAGGCCAGGAATTTGAGACCAGCCAAGACCCAGTCTCTACAAACCAATTTAAAAAGCTTGTCCAGGTGTGGTGGTGCACACCTGTAGTGCTGGGGAGGCTGAAGTTACTGGGGAGGCTGAAGCAGGACGATGGCTTGAGCCCAGGAGTTCTAAGCTGCCGTGAGCTACAATCATGCCACTGCACTCCAGCCTGGGTGACAGAGTGAGAGCCTATCTCAAGAAAAAAAAAAAAAAAAAAGATGGCCTGTATGACAGTACTACTAAGTTCCCCAATCTTACTCCCAGAGTTTTGATAAAATATGTAGGTTTTGGTTCTGTAAAAAATGTCATGTAATTGAAACAGATAATCTACAACAATGGCAGAGCATTAAATATCTCAGCACCTTCTGACACAAAGCAACAACTTTCATACACAAGTATCAATGTTGAGAAGCACAAAGAAGCTTCAATATGATTAAGTATAATCACCAACGTATGTTTGATGATTTATGCTGAATAAGAAGTTAATGTCTAATAATCTAAGGTAGTACAGTTCTTTGCAAATCAATTCTGTAATTTAAATTTCTATAAATATTCTTTAACCATCTATTTGGGAGGAAGCATTATACTTGCAATTAGGATCAAGGTTAGAAAGATGCTGTTTCTGCCTTTAACACTATAGGCTTGTGAGACAGATAGAAAAGTAGAACACAATTGTAACTCAGAGTCATAGTGTTATGGTTGACAAGCACAAAGGAGACAAGGGAGGGTACAGGGTTTCCTCACCCAGTCTAGGAAGGCTCAGAGAAATCTTCCCAGAGCAAGTGACAAGTAATGCGAATCCTGAAAGATAGTTACAGGTCAGTCAAAGGAAGACGTGGGAAAAGAGATGGGCTGCCAGGTAGGAAAAATAATATGGGCAAGAGAAGAAGGCTAGAATTTGAGCAAACAGCATTTAGGGAACTAGATCTTAGAGTCGTGTGAAGAGGAATGATGAGAGATTAACACTGCAAATTCAGGAGCCAGATCACAGAAAGCCCTTGGATATTGAGGCCATGGAGTTTGGATGCTATTTGGAAAAAGAAATGGAAAATATGATTGATTAAAATTGTTTTAGAAAAATGATTCTGGGGGTAGAATAGAGGATCATTTGGGCACCACGTGAAATTGATGGTAATAGAATCAGTCAGGAGGCTGCAACATGAATCCAAGTAAAAAAAGACCAGCACCAAACTAAGTCAGGGAAGTAGCAACAGAAGTAGCATGTATAATGAATCATATATTTAATAAGTGGAGTTGATAGAATTTGACAATTTATTGGGTAAGGGGTGAAGGAGAAACTGAGCCAAGGATGATACCAAAAATTCTTGCTGAGGTGCCATTTCAAGATACTGGAAAAGGCCTTAGGTTTAGGGGGTCATGCTGACTTAGAAGTCATCTGGGTGGAGCTGTGTAATAAGCAGTTGAAAGTTCAGTAGTTTTGTAGAGGGTCTGGCTAATATTATGTATTTAGGAGTCATCGAAATATAGTGGTAGTTGAAGACAAGACTATGAATGAGCTTATGCAGACTGTGTAGAGTGAGAAATGACTGGAAAAGATAGAACCCAGAACACAAACAAATTTATAGTGTGGGTGGAAGAACAAATCCACACAGGAGTCGGGAAATGTACATAGGGAGAGAAACATATCTACCTGGAAGGGAAGTGACAAATACCTAAGCAAGAGTCTTAGCAAGAAATAGTTACTTTGCCAATAGTCCCAGAGGTAGGTGAAACACATTAAGGGCTGGAAATATTCATCTAATTTGACAAGTAAAAATTTTTGTTGCCACTGGCAATCATAATTTCAGTGGAATAGGGTGTGAGAAAAACCATGGTTTAGTCTTTATCAACACATTTATTAAGGCCTTTACTCTCAGTATGCTACTCTCATTTCTCTCTCATCATTTTTTTCTGGAGAGCAATAATTTAATTTAGTCTTCTGATTCGGGAAGGAAGAGAAAAAATCCTCTGTCAAGATGCAATGACTCACTGACTCAAAAGTTGTTTTGGCACGCTTCAAAAGCAGAAAAATGAGGCAAAATACTGTTCTAATATTCTGATACTGATAATTGCAAGTAGTCTGGTGAAATGACACAAAGAATAAAGTATGTCCTAAAAAATGCAAGGTTTAAAAATTCAAAGCATTGACCTAAATGGAGTTTTCACTAAGTTAACTGAAATATCAAGACAAAATTTATGCAACGGAAGTGTTTCCCTCATACCCCCTCTGTCACATCAATTTCACTGCAACGTATTGATGTACAGGATGAGGACAATTTAAAGGTGACACCGAATTGTGAATTAGTACTTTTAATTTAAACTCTAACATCTACAGTAATTTTTAAGACCCTCCTTGATCAGCCTATAACTTACACCTCTAAGTTTACTTTCCATTATTCAGTTCAAAATAAATTTCTTTTCAATGGTTTCTTACCATTTGGGTGATTAAATCTCCCGAAGGCCAGTACTTACTGTAGCAGTGTCCGAGGGACTGTATGTACAAATGTGTTTTCTCAATCCATAGCTACTAAAAGCTTTAATTACTACCCTATGGGGAGACTATAAAATTTTTGATGTTACTAAGGGACCCCCCACACTTGAAAAGGTTGAGAACCATTAATATGCTGGTTTAATGCATTATTCAGCAAACCTATCTCATGCTTTTCTTATTTCAGCCATACTGTTCCTTCTATCTAGAATGCTTTCTCTTATCATGATTTATCAAAGTCTTGTTTCTCCTGTAAGATGCAGTTTAACTGACATTTTTGTCTCTGAAGGCTTCTTTAGTCCTTGAAGCCAAAAATGTTCTTCTGTCCCCACTTTCATTATATCTGTATCTTATATCACTTTCACATAACACTATAGTTGTTTGGGTATCTTCTCTCTGCTACTGGATTGAGAGTTCCTTAATAGAGGGAATATGTCTTGTTCATTAAAAAAATTCAAATATCGTGTTGCTCTACATTTCAAATAAGAAAATATTGCCCACTAAGGCTACAGATAAAAGCCCATGCAAAATCACTCATTTGCAATGTATCCTAAGAGATGGTTTATAAACGTGCTGACATAAGGCTAGAGCATCTTGCAAGTCTCTATTAAAGTAAAAGGGGTGGGGTGCGGTGAGTCATGTTTGTAATTCCAGCACTTTGGGAGGCTGAGGCAGGCAGATCACTTGAGTCCAGGAGTTCAAGACCAGCCTGGGTAAAACAGTTAAACCCAATTTCAACTAAAAATAAAAAAAATTTAGCCAAGCAAGGTGGCGCATGCCTGTAGTCCCAGCTACCAGCTCATCAGGAGGCTGAGGTGGTAGGATAACTTGAGACCAAGAGGTCCAGGCTGCAATGAGCCAAGATCATGCCACTGTGGTCCAGCCTGGGCAATAGAGTGAGACCCTCTCTCAAAAAAAAAAAAAAAAAAAGAAAAAAAAGAAAAGAAACAAAAGGATATATCTGAAATATTTTTGAAGAAATATAAACTACCATTATTATAACAGATCCAAGATAATGGAAGAGTGTAGACAAAGAAGAAATGAGAAAGCCCTACCAGGCAATAAGAATTCTTAGGGCACCTGCAAATATATGCCTAGGTGTCTTCATAAACGCTGTCACCTTTGTTATGATGGTCATTCTGCATCAGATCTTAATGTGACTTTCCAAATACAGTTTCCTATTGTGAAAGAATGATCTGATCTGTTAATATATTCTCCTAGCAACATAAGTATTATGTATATTTATATTGTGTGTGTGTGCGTGTGTGTGTGTGTGTCTCACTGTAAATAAGCAAGTTAGTTGACATTCTGGCTAATTAGTGAGGATCACTTAACAAAAGTCTGTCTTCCACAGACTTATTAGTTTTATTACACATGAGTGAATGAACGAAATAAATTTCTTTTACATGCAAAACTGATGACCAGATGCTAGCATGTGCTGTACCAAAATGCATCCACACCATGAGCCCAGCCTTGTGGCTTTTCTTTCTAAACCACTGTATAATTATTAGATATTGAACACAGCAGGTACATAATAGACATTTATTGAGTGAATAAGTGAATAAAAACTGTAAGCTTATTTCAAGTCAATTGAAATCAGTTTTAAGTAGCTAATAATACTAAAGTACTTTCTATACATGTGTCCATCCAAGTCCTTTCTCAGAGGTCAAATAGTCACTCTAGCTCACTGACCATTTTCATAATTCATTCAATAGTGCTATTCCCAAAATGCAGACCATGAAAATATGGCTTTAAAAGTCCACAGGCCACAAGAGACTTTGATAATCTCAATGTTTCCCTGTTTGCAATTAATGGAAACAGTATGGGTAATACTAGTGTTGCCATTATTCTGATTTACTACACAAAAATTACATTTTGCAGCATTAAAAAAGTTGCCACCAAATTCAATGTAAGAGTTTTCTCTCATTCCTTTTTGTGGTTGTGTGGGGGTCAAAAAGTCCTGATAGATAACGGTTTCCGGTTAAAAAGGTCACTTAGCTTTTATCCAAAGTGAATAAGTCATCTTTTCAAGTATAACTGGTTATTTTCTAACGTTACCAGCTGATGCTAGAATCTTTTTAAATAGTAAAGAACCTCCAAAATTGCAAACAAAAGGAATATAAACTATATCAACAAAAACCAAAGAAATCATATTTTCCAAATAATAGAACAATGGAGAAAAATTAAACACATGTTTAAACACTCATTTTTAAACAGAAAAAGTTCATCAATGCTATTGGGTTATTTTTATTTATTAAAGCTCTGTCAAGTTTGATAACCACTATGTGATAAATCTTAAACATTTAGAATGTTCAAAAAATTATTGTCTGTTTAAGGCCTTTTGGTGAGACTGAAGCCAGTAAGAATCTGGGCATTTTGATTTTTCTATAAAATTACTTCATCTCCACTAGAATACTGAATTCTATTAACTTTTCTTAATATGTATTTTTTGAAAGATTCAACAAACAGGTATCTATTTTTCTTTCTGTTTCATGTAATTGAATTTTCAGTAACAATTCATCTATTGTATTTCAAACCTTTTAGGTAGAATAATAACTGAGAATTATATTAAGGAGAATTGGGAAGAAATTCTTTTTCTAAAAGTGCCATTGAATTTACTTGGGGACTAAAAGGACATAATATGTTTAATTCTTGATCAGATATTAGAAAAATAATTTGTCTATAGCAGTATAAGGGTATTACTGATGTGAAGAGAATGTAGTTTTTTAAAAAGTTCTATTTCTAATTATAGGAGTAATGCCTTCACAAACAATTGCTATACATGTATTCTCCTGGCTCTGCAGTCTAAGATTTAACCAAGTGAGAATTTCATCCTTGTTATTCTTTCAAGTACTTGGCTCCTACAGAGCTGTGCTGAGGGAGCAAAAATAGCTGATAAGTAAAGTGACTGAAATTCTTCTGTGATGATATAATCCAAGTTCTCTCTGTTGCTGGGCGATATACTCTCTTTGGGTATAAATTAGAGGAATAGTGACTAGAGATTCTTTTCTCTGTGTGCTATTATTTTTTAAAGTAATTTACGTTAGGGAATTTTGTTTTCTTAATTTACTTTTGACACCTTACTGTACTCTGAATACTACTTTGATTTGTTATATGACTTTATACATTCAGTTTTATTTTCAACCAAATGAGGTTGGTTGAATTAAGGGTTAGAATAAATAGGGCATTTATAAAAAATGGTCCATTTATCATTTCTGAGCTACTCTAATATCTGTGGTTGAACACATAAACCTAAGCTATTTCTTATTAGCATAAGTTTAATGTATGCAATTTCTGACTCATCAGTAAGACTCAGTGTGTTCTCTAATTTTTTATATTTCTGTAACACATATTAGGGTCCTAGACAAATATTTTGAACTGCTCAAACACATACTATCACATACTGTTTTATATTGTAGTTAATTTACTGCATAGAGTGTTTTATTTAACAATGTACTAATACAACAAACATAGTATATTTTTTATTACATGCTGTATATAAAAATTATTATTACCTGGCAATGATTTAGACCACTTGACTACTGAAAGAAGTTGCCTCTCGCCTAGTTGATTAAGACTTGTCAGCAAAGAACTGGAGGTGTCAGGTTTTGTGTTGTCATGTCCTGCATAGATCACATCTGGTTCAATGCTCATTAACAGGTTGATCAGTGGTGGAATCAACTGTATGTCTTGACCTGGTGAAAAAGTGAATCTCTGGCTTAGGGCTTGGCTTTCATTTGGAACGCCCACTGGCTGTGGGAGAGCAACAGCATCCAGTGCTCTCACAACTCTGACTTTATTGAACTTTTTAAATTTTCGACCTACAGAGAAGAAAAAAAAGAAATTCATGTAAATATATATAAACTCCATATCCCAGTATAGTATTATTTTTCCTAAGTCTTAGAATCATAGCATTATGCATTTTAGCATCAATCGAATGAAATAGAATAAAAGTGTTAGATATTAAAATTACAAAAAATAAATTAAAACATGTAACTAACTCTTGATTAAAAAAAATTTAGGCCTCAGACTTGGATTAAATAATTAGTTACATCAACAATCACTGGGTGGGTGAGGTGTGGGTAATTATACCAGTATTCTGCAGGGGTCATGGAGCTTTTTAGGAGAAGATATGAATAAAAAGACAAAGAGTTTTAGTAGCGACTACGCTCAGTATTGGTCCATATTCTGATAGAACAGCCTTCCAAAATCTAATGCTACAGACTACATTAATTGAAACTTAGTCTATAGTGGTTGTTAAATCTTCTTTGAGGTTTTGTTCTTTTAAGAATATGTTAAAAGAAAAGCATTTGTTTGCCAGCCCCACAAAATCTTTTTATACAATTTCAGTAGGTTCATTGATCCCTTAAAATCAATCCAGCTCTACTTTTATGAGATCTAAGACTCAAAATTAATAATCCTTTTTCTAAATTAAGGAAAGAGAAAGTTTATACCCGTGCTGGTCAGATCACATTTGTATTTCTGGATGATTTCTGGAGTTTCTACTTTGATGAATTCTGATATGTTAGGGGAAAAAGATGGATGGTGAGATGAGTAGAATCTGCTTTATGAGAAATGATTGAAGGAGAAAAGGATGCTTATTTGGGCTGCTGGTAGTTCACAGACGCCTTGAGGAGAATTAGAGAAAGTTGTGGTGATGTGATATCAGGCTGGATTCAGCCCCACCTGCTTTGTGCCAGGCAAGGGCTACTTATCAGTATGAAGTAGCTGTTTAGCCAAGGGAAGGCTGATACCTGCAATTATCTAAGCAGAGGTTGCAATCTGCTGGCTCTAGTATCTGATCATGCCCATAGATACATTTTGTTTGGCTCAGACAATGCTGACCAGAATTATGAGACCATCCGTGAATTACTTAGGTGGCAACAATCTGTTAAAGTTTAGTTGCAATGGTTGCTTTTGGATGGGGCATGTGTATTCCAGTTTTTCCAGTTCCCTCCACAAACTGGTGGTACGCCAATGGTCTCTTTTCTTAAGTCTTGTCACTCTAGCTACTTATTTACCTGGTCTCTGTAAACATTTGTCTCTGAGATTTCTGAACTCAGGGTATTGTCATAAAGAAAAAGGATTATACTTGTTCTATAAAGCCCCAAGGAATGGCCAGGCATGGTGAGCTCATGCCTGTAGTTCTAGCACTTTGAGAGGCCGAGGTGGGCAGATTACCTGAGGTCAGAAGTTCGAGACCAGCCTGGCCAACATGGTGAAACCCCGTCTCTACTAAAAATACAAAAATTAGCTGGGTGTGGTGGTGGGCACCTGTAATCCCAGTTACTCCAGAGGCTGAGGCAGGAAAATCACTTGAACCCAGGAGGCAGAGGTTGCAGTGAGTCAAGATCATGCCATTGCACTCCAGCCCAGGTGACAAGGGAGAAACTCCACCTCAAAAAAAAAAAAAAAAAAAAAAAAAAAAAAAAAAAAAAAACAGCCCCAACGAGTTGAGCTAAAACTTGTAGGAGATGGGAAAACAAAACAATTGCCATGGTTAAAAAACAAAGGGGATTCAAAATTATTTGCAGAGATCAAATGAGCTTTCTGGGGGAAGGAATGAGTCACAAAGGGAAGGGAAGGAACAGTTATGGAGTATATAGCATATGCCAGGAATTGTGTGTGTGTGTGTTTGTGTCTAAGGGAAGATAATGTTAAGAAGAGGGCTAAAGTTTCCCTGTCCATGACTATAATCTTCAACAAAGGCACCACCTGTTTGTCACCTTTATTTATTTTTTCCAGTGTCTTTTGGCAATACATGTCTGCTAAATGAATGAAGGAATACATTATTGTCTTTTCCATCTCCCACTCTGAATATCTTGTCTTTATTATCTGTTGCTGTATGGTTTGCACTACATAATATTGTTTCAGTCAATGACAGACCACATATACAACAGTGTTTTCATAAGATAGTATTTTTTACTGTACTGTCTCTATCTTTAGATATGTTTAGGTACACAAATACTTACCATTGCATTACAGTTGCCTACAAAATTCAACAGAGTAACATGCTGTATCGGTTTGTAGCCCAGGAGCAATGGGCTACACCAAACAGCCTAGGTGTGTAGTAGGCTATACCATCTAAGTCTGCGTAAATGCATTCTATGATGTTCAATGATGAAATTGACTACTTCATGACACATTTCTCAAAATGTATCCCTACTCTTAAATGACGCATGACTGTTTTTGTTGCCTTCAGAGAACATAGCTTCCTCCACCAGGCTTGCTGCCCTGTAAGGATAGGGGCTAGGTCCATTTCACTCACTAATGTAGATCTGAAGCTTTATAAACTGCTAACTACACAGTGGACTCCTGATAGATATTTGCTAAGTTATTAAAGTAGTTGTTTTGACCTAACATAGCTTAAAAAAGAATATGAGAAGAGAGTACTAAAAAGGGAATGTGAACAGCAATGTGATTTTTAAAAACCACTTTGTTGTTTTTTTATATAGGATATTTGTTCAAAGAAGTTATTCCTAACCTTTATGCATAAGAACCATTACTAAGTAATGCAAGTAACAAATAAATCTGTAGAACTTCATATAATTGTACTCTTAGCATTTGTTGATTGAGAAAATAAGACAATGGCAAAAAGTACTCTGAATTCAGTGACTAGACAATGGCAAAAAGTACTCTGAATTCAGTGACAGTTTAGAATGACTTTGTATTATATTTTTGCACCTCTGAAAAATAACGACACCTGGTATTTTGGGTAATCTAAGCAGAGAATAGGCATGTGGGGTCAGTGGTCCCCCACTCCCCTGCCCGCTGCATTGACATCAGGAGATGACAGGCATGGGAGCTTTGTTGGCTGGAAGGAGGGAAGATTTGGGCTGAGACGCTGGGGGTGAGCAAGGGGGGATAAGAAAGCGGATGGACATGGTGGCTGAATAGTTGTCTCTCATTCAAGCTGATGGATGAGGTTTTGAGGGATTGAATCAGAAGCAGAGGTAATGATTTGGGGGAGGCTTAGGGGGAAAGAAGCTCCATTTGGAGAATATTTTCTTTGTGGCCAATCTACAGTATGGCTACCCCTGTACTCTGCCTTCCCTCCTGTTACAATTCATACTCCTGACATTTCAATACCAAATCTTAGTCCTTCTCACCCACTCAGGGACTTTTCTCTGAAATCATTTGCCCTCTTGTCTGCATCCTCTAATAGTCCCTCTCACACATAATGTATTCCGTGGAGAAATATCACTCTCTTCATTTCCTCTCCTCCAATTCTCCCTTGAACCTTCTCCAGTCAGGTCATTCCTCTCCTTATCCCAACCAAATTATTCTTGGCAAGGCCTTCAAAGATTTCTAAATGTCAAAAAACAATGGCCAATTCTCAGTCCTGGTCTTAACCCGGGTAAGTACTTAACACATTGATCGTTTCCTTCTTCTTTTAACGCTCTTATTCATTTGGCTTCCACATATTTCATTCTTGTAGTCACTCTTTCAGTCTCTCTGTCTAGCTCTTTTTCATCTTCTCAACTTCTAAATCTTTGAGTACACCAAGCTCAGTCCTCAGACTTCTCTTAGATATCTATGCTCTTTCTAGGTGTCTGCATCTAGTTCTATGTCTCTAATATCATCTAGACATTAATGATTACCAAATTTACAGTCCTAGACCCAGCTTTTCCAAGAAACTCTAGACTCAACTATGCAACTGTATTCTCAGCATCTCCACTTGTATTTCTAACAGACCCCTCAAATTAATATGTTTAGAGCAGAACTTTGATGCATTGGTCCAAACATGCATCTTCTAGGTTTGTAACTTCATTTACACACCTGCTGCTCTAGCCCCAAACTCTAGAGTCATTACTGATACCTCACTTATTTTCTCACCTCATATCTAATACATCAGCAAATCCTAGTGGATAACCATGAAAATATAACCCAAATCCAAATACCTGTTTCCACTGCTTGCACCATAATTTATGTCCCCACAATCACAGTTGGACTATTGTAACATATGCTGGCTGGTTTCCCAGCTTTCACTTTTTGTAGACTATTTTCTATACAACTTTAAAGACTTAATCAGACTATGTCATTCTTGCTTGATATTTTCAGTGACTCCTGATCCTACTTAGAATGAAGTTAAAATTCATATCAAGCTCTACAAGGCCCAACTTACCCTTGCATAGATGGTCTCTCTTCTATTCTCCCTCATGCTCCACCCATATTGATGCCCATCTTGCCCTTGAAGTGTGTTTCTGCCTTGGGGTCTTACACTGACAAGTTCCTCTGCATGAAATGATTTTTTCCTTGGATATTTGCATGGCTTGCTTCCTCACCTAATTTATATTTCTGCATATCGCCTTATCAGATAGCTTGTTTTTATCTATCCTATAGATATTTATAACATATATACCCAAAATACACAAAGAATTCCTATAAATCAGAAAGAAAAGGCATGAACAGATATTTCACAGAGGAAGAAATATATAGATGACAAAATACAACAATATGACTGACCTCATTATTAACCAGAGAAATGCAAAGTAAGACCACATGAGACATCATCTACCTAAAACGGCAAGGACACAGAATACAGGAACACACAAAACAATGAAGAGCTGCCATGGAGTGTAAACTACTACTACTTTAAAAACAATCTAGCATTATCTAGTAAAGCCCAGCATGAGCATGTATTACAGTCAGAAATTTCATGCCCAGGTGTGCAGGTTACCTACAGAAACTCTCACACATGAACCACCAGAATACATGTAAAATAATGTTCACAATTGAACTGTAGGTAAAGCACAGCAAATATCAAGTGGAAGTACATGTCAATACATGAGAATAAATAAATGGGAGATACTCATACAATGAAATCATACAGTGTAGGAAAAAACAAACCAGAATAATACAAATCAAAATAAAAAACACAAATATAATATTAGGCAGTAAGATCAAATTGCATAAATATACATAGCATTTCTATGGAGTAGAAAAAAACATCTCAAAACTAAAAAATCTATTAGTGAGAAATACATAGATATTAAAAAATCCTACAGAATAATATAAGAAAATGACCAACTCCAAATTAAAGATATAGAGGTTTCTGGAGAAAGATAAAGAGGAATGTGATAAGGAAGAAATATGCAATCAATTTCAAGTGTAGTGATAATATTCATATTTTCTTAAGCCAACTGAGTCCAGAGGTGGATGTTAATCATATTGTTTCTATATGTCATTTGCTTTATGTGCATTTTTTTATGAATAAAATATATTAAAAAGTATGGCTTATTCTTAGGATACAAAATCAATGTGCAAAAATCACAGTCATTCCTATACACCAATAATAGACAAACAGAGAGCCAAATCATGAGTGAACTCCCATTCACAATTGCTACAAAGAGAATTAAATGCCCAGGAATACAACTTACAAGGGATGTGAAGGGCCTCTTCAAGGAGAACTACAAAACACTGCTCAAGGAAATCAGGGCACAAACAAATGGAAAAACATTCCATATTCATAGATAGGAAGAATGTATATTTTGAAAATGGCCATAGTGACCAAAGTAATTTATAGATCCAATAATAGCTCCATCAAGCTAACATTGACTTTCTTCACAAAATTAGAAAAAAATTACTTTAAATTTCATATGGAACCAAAAAAGAGCCTGTATAGCCAAGACATCCTAAGTCAAAAGAACAAAGCTGGAGGTATCATGCTACCTGACTTCAAACTATACTTCAACTCTACAGTAACTAAAACAGCATGGTACTGGTACCCAAACAGATATATAGAACAATAGAACAGAACAGAGGCCTCAGAAGTAACGTCACAAATCTACAACCATCTGATCTTTGACAAACCTGACCAAAAAAAACAATGGGGAAAGGATTCCCTATTTAATAAATGGTGTTGGGGAAACTGGCTAGCCATATGCAGAAAACTGAAAGTGGACCCCTTCCCTACACCTAATACAAAAATTAACTCAAGATGGACTAAAGACTTAAACATAAGACCTAAAACCATAAAAACCTTGGAAGAAAACCTAGGCAATACCATTCAGGACATAGGCATGGGCAAAGACTTCATGACTAAAACACCAAAAGCAATGGCAACAAAAGACAAAATTGACAAATGGGATCTAATTAAACTAAAGACCTTCTGCACAGCAAAAGAAACTATCATCGGAGTGAACAGGCAACCTATAGAATGGGAGAAAATCTCTGCAATTTATCCATCTGACAAAGGGCTAATATCCAGAGTCTACAGGGAACTTAAACAAATTTACAAGAAAAAAAAAACATCAAAAAGTGGGTGAAGGGTATGAATAGACACTTCTCAAAAGAAGACATTTATGTGGCCAAAAAACATGGAAAAAAGCTCATCTTCACTGGTCATGAGAGAAATGCAAATCAAAACCACAATGAGATACCATCTCACACCAGTTAGAATGGCGATCATTAAAAAGTCAGGAAACAACAGATGCTGGAGAGGATGTGGAGAAATAGGAAAGCTTTTACACTGTTGGTGGGAGTGTAAATTAGTTCAACCACTGTAGAAGACAGTGTGATGATTCCTCAAAGATCTAGAACCAGAAATGCCATTTGACCCAGTAATCCCATTACTGGGTATATACCCAAAGGATTATAAATCATTGTACCATAAGACACATGCACATGTATGTTTACTGCAGCAGTATTCACAATAGCAAAGACTTGGAGCCAACCCAAATCCTCATCAGTGAGAGACTGGATAAAGAAAATGTGGCACATATACACCATGGAATACTATGCAGCCATCAAAAGGGATGAGTTCATGTCTTTTGCAGGGACATGGATGAAGCTGGAAACCATTCTTAGTAAATTAACACAAGAACAGAAAACCAAACACTGCATATTCTCTCATAAGTGGGAGGTGAACAATGAGAACACATGGACACAGGGAGAGGAACATCACACACCAGGGCCTGTTGAGGGGTGGGGAGCTAGGGGAGGGATAGCACTAGTAGAAACATCTAATGTAGATGATGGATTGTTGGGTGCAGCAAACCACCATGGCACATGTATATCTATGTAACAAACCTGCATATTCTGTACATGTATCCCAGAACTTAAATTAAAAAAAAAAAAAGTAGAGTGGTTGCTGGCTGGCAAGATGGCTGAATAGGAATAGCTCCGGTCTGTAGCTCCCAACGCGATCAACACAGAAGGTGGGTGATTTCTGCATTTTCAACTGAGGTACCCACCTCATCTCATTGGGACTGGCTAGACAGTAGCTACAGCCCATGGAGAGCGAGCTGAAGCAGGGTGGGGCATTGCCTTACCCGGGAAGTACAAAGAGTGGGGAAACTCCCTCCCTTAGCCAAGGGAAGCCGTGAGTGACTGTGCTGTAAGGAACAATGTGTTCCGGCCCAGATACTATGCTTTCCCCATGGTCTTTGCAACCCACAGACCAGGAGATTCCCTTGGGTGCCTAAATCACCAGGGCCCTGGGTTTCAAGCACAAAACTGGGCAGCCATTTGGGCAGACAATGAACTAGCTGCAGGAGTTTTTTTTCATACCCCAGTGGCACCTGGAATGCCAGTGAGACAGAACCATTCACTCCCCTGGAAGGGGGGCTGAAGCCAGGGAGCCAAGTGATCTAGCTCAGCAGATACCATCCCCACAGAGCCCAGTAAGTTGAGATTCACTGGCTTGAAATTCTCGCTGCCAGCACAGCAGTGTGAAGTCGACCTGGGACGCTGGAGCATGGTGGTGGGAGGGGCGTCCACCATTACTGAGGCTTGAGTAGGCAGTTTTCCCCTCACAGTGTAAGCAAAACCACCTGGAACTTCAAACTGGGCAGAGCCCACTGCAGCATGGCAAAGCTGCTGTAGCCAGACTGCCTCTCTAGACTCCTCTCTGGGCAGGGCATCTCTGAAAGAAAGGCAGCAGCCCCAGTCAGGGGCTTATACATAAAACTCCCATCTCCCTGGGACAGAGAACCTGGGGGAAGGGGTGGCTGTGGGCGCAGCTTCAGCAGACTTAAACGTTCCTGCCTGCTGGCTCTGAAGAGACCAGCGGATCTCCCAGCGCAGTGCTCAAGCTCTGCTAAAGGACAAACTGCCTCCTCAAGTGGGTCCCTGACCCCTGTGCCTCCTGACTGGGAGATACCTCCCAGCAGGGGTCGACAGACACCTCACACAGGAGAGCTCTGGCTGGCAATCTGGTGGGTGCCCTGCTGGGATGAAGATTCCAGAGGAAGGAACAGGCAGCAATCTTTGCTGTACTGCAGAGTCCGCTAGTGATACCCAGGCAAACAGGGTCTGGAGTGGACCTCCAGCAAACTCCAGCAGACCTGCAGCAGAGGGGCCTGACTGTTAGAAGGAAAACTAACAAACAGAAAGGAATAGCATCAACATCAACAAAAAGGATGTCCACACAAAAACCCCATCTGAAGGTCACCAACATCAAAGACCAAAGGTAGATAAATCCATGAAGATGAGGAAAAACCAGTGCAAAAAGGCTGAAAATTCCAAAAATCAGAATGCCTCTTCTCCTCCAAAAGATCACAACTCCTCACCAGCAAGGGAATAAAACTGGACGGAGAATGAGTTTGACAAATTGACAGAAGTAGGCTTCAGGAGGCGGGTAATGACAAACTCCTCTGAGTTAATGGAGCATGTTCTAACCCAATGCAAGGAAGCTAAGAACCTTGAAAAAAGGTTAGAGGAATTGCTACCTAGAATAACCATTTTAGAGAAGAACATAAATGACCTGATGGAGCTGAAAAACACAGCACAAGAACTGTGTGAAGCATACACAAATATCAGCAGCCAAATTTATCAAGCAGAAGAAAGGATATCAGAGATTGAAGATCAACTGAATGAAATAAAGCATGAATACAAGATTAGAGAATAAAGAATGAAAAGGAACAAACAAAGCCTCCAAGAAATATGGGACTATGTGAAAAGACCAAACTTACGTTTGATTGGTGTACCTGAAAGTGACGGGGAGAATGGAACCAAGTTGGAAAACACTCTTCGGGATAGTATCCAGGAGAACTTCCCCAACCTAGCAAGACAGGCCAACATTCAAATTCAGGAAATACAGAGAACACCACAAAGATACTCCTCGAGAAGAGCAACCCCAAGACACATAACTGTCAGATTCACCAAGATTGAAATGAAGGAAAAAACGTTAAGGGCAGCCAAAGAGAAAGTCGGGTTACCCACAAAGGGAAGCCCATCAGACTAACAGCAGATCTCTCTGCTGAAACCCTACATGCCAGAAGAGAGTGGAGGCCAATATTCAACATTTCTAAAGAAAAGAATTTTCAACCCAGAATTTCATATCCAGCCAAACTAAGCTTCATAAGCAAAGGAGAAATAAACTCCTTTACAGACAAGCAAAAGCTGAGAGATTTTGTCACCACGAGGCCTGCCTTACAAGAGCTCCTGAAGGAAGCACTAAACATGGAAAGGAACAACCGGTACCAGCCACTGCAAAAACATGCCAAATTGTAAAGACCATCGATGCTAGGAAGAAACTGCATCAACTAATGGGCAAAATAACCAGCTAGCATCATAATGACAGGATCAAATTCACACATAATACTATTACCCTTAAATGTAAATGGGCTAAATGCCCCAATTAAAAGACACAGACCAGCAAACTGGATAAAGAGTCAAGACCCATTGGTGTGCTATATTCAGGAGACCCATCTCACAGGCAGAGACACAATATGCTCAAAATAAAGGGATGGAGGAATATTTACCAAGCAAATGGAAAGCTAAAAAAGGCAGGGGTTGCAATCCTAGTCTCTGATAAAACAGACTTTAAACCAACAAAGATCAAAAGACAAAGAAGGCCATTACATAATGGTAAAGGGATCAATGCAACAAGAAGAGCTGACTATCCTAAAAATACGTACTCAATACAGGAGCATTCAGATTCATAAAGCAAGTTCTTAGAGGCCTATGAAGAGACTTAGACACCCACACATTAATGGGGGAGACTTTTAACACCCTACTGTCAATATTAGACAGATCAACAAGACAGAAAATTAATAAGGATATCCAGGACTTGAACTCAGGCTCTGGACCAAGTGGACCTAAGAGACATCTACAGAACTCTCTACCCCAAATCAACAGAATATACCTTCTTCTCAGCACCACATTGCACTTATTCTAAAATTGACCACATAATTGGAAGTAAAACACTCCTCAGCAAATGTGAAAGAATGGAAATAATAACAAACAGTTTCTCAGACCACAGTGCAATCAAATTAGAACTCAGGATTAAGAAACTCACTCAAAACTGCACAACTACATGGAAACTGAACAACCTGCTCCTGAATGATTACTGCATAAATAATGAAATTAAGGCAGAAATAAATAAGTTATTTGAAACCAATGAGAACAAAGACACAACATACCAGAATCTCTGGGACACAGCTAAAGCAGTGTTTGTTTAGAGGGAAATTTATAGCACTAAATGTCCACAGGAGAAAGTGGGAATGATCTAAAATTGACACGCTAATATCACAATTAAAAGAACTAGCGAAGCAAGAGCAAACAAATTCAAAAGCTAGCAGAGGACAAGAAATAACTAAGACCAGAGCAGAACCGAAGGAGATAGAGACATGAAAAACCCTTAAAAAAAAAAAATCAATGAATCCAGGAGCTGGTTTTTTGAAAAGATTAACAAAGTAGATAGACCACTAGCCAGACTAATAAAGAAGGGAGAGAAGAATCAAGTAGACACAATAAAAAATGATAAAGGGGATATCACCAGTGATCCCACAGAAATACAAACTACCATCAGAGAATACTATAAACACCTCTATGAAAATAAACTAGAAAATCTAGAAGAAATGCATACATTCCTGGACACATACACCCTCCCAAGATGAAACCAGGAAGAAGTTGAATTCCTGAATAGACCAATAACAAGTTCTGAAATTGAGGCAGTAATTAATAGCCTACCAACCAAAAAAACCCCAGGACCAGACAGATTCATAGCTGAATTCTACCAGAGATACAAGGAGGAGCTGGCACCATTCTTTCTAAAACTATTCCAAACAATAGAAAAAGAGGGAATCCTCCCTAACTCATTTTATTTGGTATCATCCTGACACCAAAACCCGGCAGAGAAACAACAAAAAAGAAAATTTCAGGCCAATATCCCTGATGAATATTGATGCAAAAATCCTCAATAAAATACTGGCAATCCAAATCCAGCAGCACATCAAAAAGCTTATCCACCATGATCAGGTCAGTTTCATCCCTGAGATGAAAGCCTGGATCAACATACGCACATTAATAAACGTAATCCATCACATAAACAGAACCAATGACAAAAACCACATGATTATCTCAATAGATGCAGAAAAGGCCTTTAACAAAATTCAACACCCCTTCATGCTAAAAACTCTCAATAAGCTAGGTATTGATGGACCGTATCTCAAAATAATAAGAGCTATTTATGGCAAACCCACAGCGAATATCATAATGAATAGGCAAAAGCTGAAAGCATTCCCTTTGAAAACCAGCACAAGACAGGGATGTCCTTTCCCACCACTGCTATTAAACATAGTAGTGGAAGTTCTGGCCAGGGCAATCAGGCAAGAGAAAGAAATAAAGCGTATTCAAATAGGAAGAGAGGAAGTCAAACTGTGTCTTTTTGTAGAGGACATGATTGTATATTTAGAAAACTCCATCATCTCAGCCCAAAATCTCCTTAAGCTGATAAGCAACTTCAGTGAAGTCTCAGGATACAAAATAAATGTGCAAAAATCACAGGCATTCCTATACACCAATAATAGACAAACAGAGAGCCCAAACATGACTGAACTCCCATTCACAATTGCTACAAAAGGAGTAAAATAGCTAGGAATACAAGTCACGAGAAATGTGAAGGACCCCTTCAAGGAGAACTACAAATCAACGCTCAAGGAAATCAGAGAGGACACAAATGGAAAAACACTCTATGCTCATGGATCAGAAGAATCAATATCATGAAAATGGCCATACTGACCAAAGTAATTTATAGATTCAATGCTATCCCCAACAAGCTAACATTGACTTTCTTCATAGAATTAGAAAAAACTACTTTAAATTTCCTATGGAACCAAAAAAGAGCCCATATAACCAAGACAATCCTAAGCAAAAAGAACAAAGCTGGAGGCATCAGGCTAGCTGACTTCAAACTATACTACAAGGCTACAGTAGCCAAAACAGCATGGTACTGGTACCAAAACAGATATATAGACCAATGAAGCAGAACAGAGGCCTCAGAAATAATGCCACACATCTACCATCTGATCTTTGACAAATCTGACCAAAAAAGCAATGGGGAAAGGATTCCCTATTTAATAAATGGTGTTGGGGAAACTGGCTAGCCATATACAGAAAATTGAAAGTGGACCCCTTCCTTACACCTTATACAAAAATTAACTCAAGATAGATCAAAGACTTAAATGTAAGACTGAAAACCATAAAAACCCTAGAGGAAAACCTGGGCAATATCATTCAGGACATAGGCATGGGCAAAGACTTCATGACTAAAACACCAAAAGCAATGGCAACAAAAGACAAAATTGACAAATGGGATCTAATTAAACTAAAGACCTTCTGCACAGCAAAAGAAACTATCATCAGAGTGAACAGGCAACCTACAGAATGGGAGAAAATTTCTGCAATTTATCCATCTAACAAAGGACTACTATCAAGAAGCTACAAAGAATTTAAACAAATTTACAAAAAAAAAAACAAAAAACAACCCCATCAAAAAGTGGGCAAAGGATATGAACAGACACTTCTCAAAAGAAGACATTTATGTGGGCAATAAACATGAAAAAAAAGCTCATCATCACTGGTCGAAATGCAAATCAATACCACAATGAGATGCCATTTCATGCCAGTTAGAATGATGACCATTAAAAACTCAGGAAACAATAGATGCCGGAAAAGATGTGGAGAAATAGGAAAGCTTTTACGCTGTTGGTGGCAGTGTAAATTAGTTCAACCATTGTAGAAGACAGTGTGGTGATTCCTCAAGGATCTAGAACCAGAAATACCATTTGACCCAGCAATCCCGTTACTGGGTATGTACCCAAAGGATTATAAATCATTGTACCATAAAGACACATGCACACGTATGTTTACTGCAGCACTATTCACAATAGTAAAGATTTGGAGCCAACCCAAATGCCCATCAATGATAGACTGGATAAAGAAAATGTGGCACATATACACCATGCAATAACATTGAGCTATCAAAAGGGATGAGTTCATGTCCTTTGCAGGGACATGGATGAAGCTGGAAACCATCATTCAGAGCAAACTAACACAAGAACAGAAAACCAAACACTGCATGTTCTCTCATAAGTGGGAGGTGAACAATGAGAACACATGGACACAGGGAGGGGAATGTCACACACAGGGATCTGTCGGGGGGTGGGGGGCTAAGGGAGGGATAACATTAGAAGAAATACCTAATGTAGATGATGGGTTGATGGGTGCAGCAAAACATCATGGCACGTGTATACCTATGTAACAAACCTTCACGTTCTGCACGTGTATCCCAGAACTTAAAATATAATAAAAAATTTGAAATAAATAAATATAAATTAAAAAATTGAAAACATTAAAAAGTATGGCTTATTTAAATATCATGCATTGAAAAGATAAGATGAAGAGTCTAGGAAACAGTATTGCACAATTATTCTTGATGTATATGTGACTGAATCTGGATGATGATACTATGAGAAGAAATTTTTATGACAAGTGATATGAAAGGTTTTTGAGAGAGATTAGAAGTGAAAGCTTAAATATAACCTAAAAATAAAAATTTTGAAATATCTCAGCAAAAATCCTATAGAGAATGGGAGCAGGGAGAAGAAAAGCTTATAAACTTCTTTAGCATGTTTTAATAAAATAATTTGGTAAAATAGGGCAGGCATAATTATTTAATTCTGATAAAAGAAGAATACAGATTTTTGTATTTTCTACTAATTTTTCTATATCTTTACTATTTTTTTAAAACTACAAATGGAATTTTTTTTTTTTTTTTTTTTTTTTTTGCGACAGAGTTTGTTTTATACTGCCTCATAATTACCTCTTTTCCATTTTCTTTCTTTGCTACCTTGGTCAAGTTTCCCTTTATTTTCTCTTTCCTATTTAACTTTTTCTATTAATTCAGAAGTTTTAATTTGCTTTTCCAGTTTCCTAGTGTTTGTATTCCCATCCTGAACAATCTCTGTATTTTTCTTTTATTATATCAGAAGTCTCTCTGTAGTTCAGGTGAATTTATAGACAGTCATCCTTACACTACCTATATAAAATTATGGAAGGATGTCTAGAGGCATGCTTCTACTTCAGATTACCAAAATGATAATGACCACTGCGCAGTGCTGGGATCAGTCCACTGGCACTACACTTTAACAATCCTTTATAGCACTGATAGTGCTTGCCTTCCATTTTTCAGGATTCACCTCCAATTTCCAGATCAAAACACAGTGTGCCTTTGTATATACTTCAAAGAAAACAAAGATGCTAGACAACAGGAAATATAAAGTGAAATCAGGTATTTTCCAAAAACCAAAACTATACTAGAATTGATTTTTTTAAATGTATATGTCTTAATCATTCAAATAAAGTCAACTACAATGGAGGAGATATTTGAACCCCTCAATTCTAACTTTTTACTGAGTCTAGAAAATAATAAATGCTTGTAGATACTACTGAAAAGTTCTAGTTGGCAAACCATAAAAGACATCCCATACAAACACAGAAAAATTTTAAGCAAAGAAATGAGAATGAATAGTCTGAGGACCATCCCCAGCTAGCATGTGTGAGATGGTGTTTAGGGTAAACAACCAGACTGATGAGAAGGACATCAGTTGGCTGCAGGCTCCAATGCAGTGAACTTGGGGAGCAATGTGAGAGGTGCTGTCTCTGAGAGATGCTGATTCAAAGGCCAGGATTTGGGTGGAAAAAGAGATGCCCATTAAGAAGAAGATTCTGTGAGGTCTAGAGAGGTAGGTGGTAGCCATCACCCACAGTAGATCTTGCCTTAAAGAGGAAAAATGATTTTTGTTCTTAGGGTATTAAAGGCACAGAGCAGGACTCTGTACTTCTAGAAAAGATACCACTGTGTCCTAAATTCAAGAATTTTGCAGTTCTTCCAAAGAAGACTTGTAGCCTTGTTGGCTGTCAAGTGTAGGAGGAGAAAACAAAAAAACAACAAAAATCTTTACTACACAACCCATACTCTCTAGCCCAGAAAGTTATTCTCTTTGCCATAAGAAGTGGTTGAATCTAGGTGGAGGAGGAGGTAGGGGGAGAAGGAGAGAAACTGGCTTTCTAACACAACCTTTTAAAATGTGAAGATAAGGCTTGCTACCAAAAAAGAAAATAATAGAAAAAAAGAAAAACCCATAAAACCTGTAACTGTGGATTTAAAAAATTTCAAAGAAGATAACTATTCATTTAATCATTCTTTTATGTAGAAAGCGACTTATTTTTGAAAGAGCTAATTACCTTATACTAGTTTAGCATTTTTACAACTGCAAAATATAAAGCTGTATTCATTTCAGATATTTTTTTGTGAGTCATTAAACAAAAATGTTTTCTAGAAGAAAGAAGATGGAAGCAGAACACCTAAAGTAGAAGATATATTATCATCCTTAAGGGTGTAACTATCTTCCCACTCAGTGCTGTACAGCAGTGAACTAAAGCAAAAGTTCACTGTGACCTGTTCAAGGTAGGGAAGTGATTCATTAAAGACAAGAATCATATGCAACGAAGAAATCAAATAACTCAAAACATAATTTTTATAATCAAAACATAGCCACGGAAGCAGATAAGAACAAACTGCTCCTAACAAAATCTATGTCATGACATGTCAAAACATATTTATTACCTCTATTATTCTACTGTAAGATTTTATTAAATCTTTTAAAAGCTTTCTAATATTCTCTCATGTTTTATCTTTTGTTATTTAAATGGTCTCTATGTCAGAAATGAGAATTCTTAACCATAACAGCATGATATTGGTATAAAAACAGACACAAAGACCAATGGAACAGAATAGAGAACCCAGAAATAAAGCCATGCATTAACAGTCAACTCATTTTTGACAAAGGTGCCATGGATATACATTGGGGAAAGGGCAATCTCTTCAATAAATGCTGCTGGGAAAACTGGCTACCTATATGCAGAAAACAGAACTAGATCACTATCACTCACCACATACGAAAATAAAATCAAAATCGATTAAAGACTTAAGTGTAAGATCTGAAACTACAAAACTACTACAAGAAAACTTTGGGGAACTGCTTTAAGACTTTTGGGTAAATATTTTTGTAGTAAGACCTCAAGGCATAGGCAATCAAGGCAAAAATTGACAAATGGAATTTCATCAAGCTAAAAAGCTTCCGCACAGCAAAGGAAATAGTTAACAATGTGAAGAGACAAAGAATGAGAGAAAATATTTGAAAACTATTCATCTGACAAGGAGTTAATTATCAGAATATATAAGGAACTCAGCTCAATAGCAAAAAAAAAAAGTAATCCCATTTAAAAATAGGCAAAATGAACAGAAATTTCTTGAAAGAAGACATACAAATGCCAACAGATATATGAAAAAATGCTCAACATCACTAATCATCAGGGAAATGCAAATAAAACCACAATAAGATATTATCTCACTCCAGTTAAAATGGCTGTTACTAAAAAGACAAAAAATAAATGCTGGTGAGGATATGGAGAAAGAGAAATTCTCGTACACTGTTGGTAGTAATCTAAATTAGTACTGTAACTATGGAAAACAGTATGGAGGTTCCTAAAACTAAAAACAGAACTACCACGTGATGCAGCAATCCTACTGTTGGGCATATAGCCAAAAGAAAGAAAACTGGTATATTGAAGATATTATCTGCATTCACATGTTTCCTGCAGCACTATATATAATTGTCATTTACCCCTCCTGTGTAGAGATCTTGGTGCAGGGGGCCCCTCTCTATTCCATGCCAAAGCAGATCTCCAGGCATCTGGAGCACCCACTCTCCTGAATCAGGAGCTTAGGATGCCTCCCATGCAGAGAATTTGCAGCTGAGGAGGTTTCCAAGCTTCAGGTCTGTGTACAACTCTGGGTGCTTGGTGGCCACCCACTGGATTCTTCCTTGGCACTGGTGCTTGTGCTTGCCATCAGGGGACGCAGGTGGACCTGCTCGGTCCAAACTTGCCCTTTGTGGTTCCCTTCTCCTTGGGGCTGAGCAGGGAGTTCCAACTACTGTGCATTCTATGAATCAGAATCAGCCTATTGCCTAAGACAATGGAGAGCTTTTGCTCGGAAACAAGGATCAAGTATATATCCAGCCACATTGGTCACAGCCAGCTCTTACCTATACGTGCCGCCTATGGGCCTGTGGGATGACCTGCAGAGCCCAGTATAAAACCTGCTGAAAGAAGCACATAGGGCTGTAGAATCAAAGTGAAAAGATCCTACCCAGCATTCTTTAGAGGCACAAGCCCTAGAAAAGGGGTAAAAGGGAAACAAAAAAAATTATTAAAATAATAATAATAATACCATTATAGGGAAAGAAAAAAAAAAGAAAAACTACTACCCACATGAAAATAAGTACAAAAATTTGAAGTGCCAATGTCTCCAGATGAGAAGAAACCAGTGCAAGAATTCTGGCATAATGAAAAATCTGATTGCAGTGACATCACTAAGGGATTGCACTAGCTTTCCAGCAATGGTCCCTAACCAAGATGGAAACTCAGAAATGACACATAAATAATTCAAAGCATGGATTGCAAGGAAGTTCATTGTAATCAAAGACAAGGTTGAAAACCAACATAAACTTCTAAAGCAATCTAGGAAATTAAGAAAGACATGAACATCTTAAAAAAAATCAATAGTAGCTTCTGGAATTGAAAAACTCACTTAAAGCCTTCAATTATATTTTGAAATTCGTTATCAATAGACTGGATCAAGCAGAAGAAAAAATTTTAAAGCTTGAAGGCTGGTCTTGTGAACTAACCCAATCTGATAAAAATAAAGAAAAAAATTATTTTAAATGAGCTGTTTTTGAGAAATATAAGATTATATAAAGCAAAAAAACCCTATGAATTATTGGCATTCCTCAGAAAGTAGGAGAAAAAGAAAACAAACTGGAAAATATAGTTGAGGGAATAATTCAAGAAAACTTTCCTAATCTTGCTAGAGAGCTAGAAATCCAGAGAACATCTGTGAGACACCACAAACATGAACATCACTGGCTGGGCGTGGTGACTCATGTCTGTAATCCCAGCACTTTGGGAGGCTGAGGCAGGTGGATCATGAGGTGAGGAGTTCAAGACCAGCCTGGCCAAGACGGTGAAACCCTGACTCTACTAAAAATACAAAAAATTAGCCAGACACGGTGGCAGGCACCTGTAATCCCAGCTACTCGGGAGGTTGAGGCAGGAGAATCCATGGAACTTGGAGGGCGGAGGTTGCAGTGAGCCAAGATCTCACCACTGCACTCCAGCCTGTGTGACACAGTAAGGCTCCATCTCAAAAAAAAAAAAATCACCAAGGTATATAGTCACCAGAATGTTCAAAGGCAATATTACAGAAAAAATCTTAAAGGCAGCCAGAGAAAAGTGCAGATCACATAAAAAGGGAACTCTATCAGGATAATAACAGATTTCTCAGCAGAGGTTTGCAAGCTAGGAGAGATTGGGGGCCTGTTTTCAGCGTTCTTAAAAGAAATTTCAACCAAGAATTTCACATCCTGCCAAACTATGCTTCATAAGTGCAGGACAAATAAAATCTTTTCCAGGCAATCAAGTGCTAAAGGAATTTGTTACCACTAGACCATCCTTACAAGAGATCCTTACATGGGAGTTCTAAACATGGAAGCAAAAGAACCATACCTGCTTCCACATAAACACACTTAAGCACATAGCCTGCACACCCTACAAAGCAAAAACACAATAGAAACAACAAAGCAAACAGCTAACAACTAAACAAGGGATCAAAACCTCACATATAAAAATTAACCTTGAACGTAAATGGTCTAAATGCCTGATATGGTTTGGTTCTGTGTCCTCACCCAAATCTCACGTTGAATTTTAATTCTTAATGTTTGGGGAGGGACCTGATGGGAGGTGATTGGATCATGGGGGCACATTTCCCCCATACTGTTGTTGTGATAATGAGTGAGCTCTCAGGAGATATGATGGTTTAAAAGTGGTGGCACTTCCCCTCTCACTCTCTCTCTCTCTCTCTGCTGCTCTGCCCTGGTAAGACGTGCTTGCTTCCCATTTGCCTTCCACCATGATTGTAAGTTTCCTGAGACCTCCTAGCTATGCTTCCTGTTAAGCCTGCAGAACTGTGAGTCAGTTAAAGTTCTTTTCTTCATAAATTACCCAGTCTCAGGTAGTTCTTTATAACAGTATGAGAATGAGCTAATACAGAAAATTGGTACTGGGAGAGTGGAGCACAGTTAAGAAGATACCTGAAAATGTGGGAGTGACTTTGGAACTGAGTAATGGGCAGAGGTTGGAACAGTTTGCAGGGCTCAGAAGACAGAAAGATATGGGAATGTTTGGAACTTCCTGGAGACTTGTTGAATGGTTGTGACCAAAATGCTGATAGTGACATGGACAATGAGTCTAGGCTTAGGTGGTCTCAGATGGAGTGAGGAACTTATTGGGAACTGGAGTAAAGGTCACTCTTGCTATGCTTTAGCAAAAAGACTGGTGGCATTTTGCCCCTGTCCTAGAGATCTGTGAAGCTTTGAACTTGAGAGAGATGATTTGGGGTATCTGGTGGAAAAAATTTCTAAGCAACAAAGCATTCCAGATGTATGTGACCTGGCTGTTTCTAAACATGTATGCTCATATGCATGAAAAAAGAGATTATCTGAACCTGGAACTTACATTTAAAAGTGAAGCAAAGCAAAAAATATATTGGAATATTTGTAGCCTGGCCATGTGGTAGAAAAGAGAGAGACAAAAAAACATTTCCTGGGGAGCAATTCAAGCCTGCTGCAGAAATTTGCATTAGTAAAGAGGAGTCAAATGTTAACAGTCAAGACAATGGGGAAAATGTCTCCAGGGCATTTCAGAGACCTTCACAGCAGCCCCTCCCATCACAGGCACAGAAGCCTAAGAGGGATTAATGGTTTTGAGGGCCAGGCCCAGGGCCTAGCTACTCTGTGCAGCCTTGGGACATGGTGCCCTGCATTCCAGCTGCTCCAGCTCCAGCTGTTGCTAAAAGGGGCCAAGGTACAGCTTGGGCCAGGGCTTCAGAGGATGCAAACCCAAAGCCCTGGTGGCTTCCACATGGTATTGGGCCTGCGGGTATGAAGAAGGCAAGAGTTGAGGTTTGGAAACCTCCACCTAGATTTCAGAGGATGTATGGAAATGCCTGGATGTCCAGGCAGAAGTCTGCTTCAAGCGCAGAGACCTCATGGAGAACCTCTACTAGGACAGTGTGAAAGGGAAATGTGGGGTTGGAGCCCCTGCACAGAGTTCCCACTGGGGCACTGCCTAGTGGAGCTGTGAGAAGAGGACCACCATCAACCAGACCTCAGAATCGTAGATCCATCAACAGCTTGCATTGTGTGCCTGGAATACCTGCAGGCATTCAATGCCAGCCTGTAAAAGCAGCTGTGGGGGCTGTATCCTGTAGAGCCACAGGGTGGAGCTGCTGAAGGCCTTGGGAGCCCATCCCTTGCATCAGTATGCTCTGGATGTGAGGCATGGAGACAAAAGAGATTATTTTGGAGCTTTAATATTTAATGACTGCCCTGCTGGGTTTTGAACTTGCTTGGGGCCTGTATCTCCTTTGTTTTGGCCAGTTACTCCCATTTAAAATGGGAGTATTTACCCAATGCCCATACCCCTATTGTATCTTGGAAGTAACTAACTTGTTTTTGATATTACAAGATCATAGGTGGAAGGGACTTGCCTTGTCTCAGACGAGACTTTGGTCTTGGACTTTTGGGTTAATGCTGGAATGAGTTAAGACTTTGGGGGACTGTTGGGAAGGCATGATTGTGTTTTGAAAACTGAGAAGGACATAAGCTTTGGGAGGGGCCAGGGGCAGAATGATATGGTTTGGCTCTGTATCCCCATCCAAATCTCACGTTGAATTGTAATTCCCAATGTTGAGGGAGGAACCTGGTAGGAGGTTATTGGATCATGGAGGCAAATTTCCCCCATGCTGTTGTCATGATAGTGAGTGGGTTCTCCCAAGATATAATGATTTAAAAGTGTGTGGCACTCCCCTGACCCACCTCTCCTACTCTGCCATGGTAAGATATTCTTGCTTCCCCTTCACCTTCTGCCTTGATTGTAAGTTTCCTGACGTTGCCTAGCTATGCTTCCTGTTAAGCTTGTAGAACTATGAGTCATTTAAATGTCATTTCTTCATAAATTACCCAGTCTCAGGTAGTACTTTATAGCAGCACAAGAATGGACTAATACAATGTCCCATTTAAAAGTCACAGAGTGGGTCCAGGCACAGTGGCTCACACCTGTAATCCCAGAACTTTGGGAGGCTGAGGCGGGTGGATCACCTGAGACCAGGAGTTCAAGACCAGCCTGACCAACAAGGTAAAACCCCATCTCTACTAAAAATACAAAAATTAGCCAGCCGTGGTGGCAGGTGCATATAATCCCAGCTACTCCGGAGGCTGAGACAGGAGAATTGCTTGAACCTGGGAGGTGGAGGTTGCAGTGAGCTGAGATTGCGCCACTGCACTCCAGCCTGGGCATCAGAGTAAGACTCCATCTAAAAAAAAAAAAAAGTCACAGAGTGGCAAACCAGCTAGGAAAACCAGACTCATCCATCTTCTGTATTCAAGAAACCCATCTCACATGTAATGACAACCATAGGCTCAAAGTAAAGGGTTGGAGAAAGATGTAGCATGCAAACAGAAAACAAAAAAGAGCAGGGGTTGCTATTCTTAGATTAGATAAAACAGACTTTAACAACAGTAAAAAAGGAAAAATAAGGGCATAACGATAAAGAGTTCAATAAGAAGATTTAACTATCCTAAATACATACGCCCTCAACACTGGCACACCCAGATTCATAAAACAAGGACTTCTAAGGACCTAGAAAGCCACACAACAATAGTGGGGGACTGATAGCATTAGATCATCAAGGCAGAAGACTAACAAAGAAATTCTGGACTTAAACTCAATGCTTGTCCAATTGGATCTAATAAACATCTACAGAATAATCCACCCATCAACCACAGAACGTAAATTCTTCTCATCTGTACACAGAACATATACTCCAAGATTCACCACATCCTTGGCCATAAACCAAGACTCAGTACATTTTAAAAAGTCAAAATCATGCCAGTCATACTGTCAGGTCACAGTGGAATACAAAGAGAAACCAACATCAAGAAGATCTGTACAAACCACACAATTACATGGAAATTAAAAAGTTTGCTCTGGATAACTTTGAGTAAACAATAAAATCAAGGCAGAAATAAAAAAAAATTAAAATAAATGAAAACAGACACAACATACCAAAATCTCTGGAATGTAGCAAAAACAATATTAAGAGGAGAGTTTACAGCTCTAAATGCCTACCTCAAAAAGTTAGAAAGATCTCAAATTAATGACCTAACATCACACCTAGAGGAACTAAAAAAAAAAAAAAAAAAAAAAAAACAAGAACAAACTATCCCTAAAGCTAGCAGAAGAAAAGGACGAACTAAAGAGCAGAACCAAATGAAATTGAGACCCAAAAATCTATACAAAGAATCAACAAAACCAAAAGTTATTTTTTTAAAGGATAAATAAGATTGATAGACTGCTAGCTACATTAACAAAGAAAAAAAGAGAGAAGATCCAAATAAACACAAACAGAAATGACAAAGGTGACATCACAACTGATCCCACAGAAATATGAAAGATCCTTAGATAACTATTGTGAACACCTCTACACACACAAACTACAATATCTAGAGGAAATGAATAAATTCCTGAAAACACACAATGTCCCAAGTTTAAATCAGGAAAAAACTAAAGCACTGAACAGACCAATATTGGGTTCCAAATGGAATTAGTAATAAAAAACTTACCAACCAAAAAGAAAGCCCTGGCCAGAGAGATTCACAGCTAAATTCTACCAGATGCACAAAGTAGAGCTGGTACCAATTCTACTGAAACTATTTCAAAAAATCGAGAAGGAAAGACTCCTCCCTAACTCGTTTTCTGAAGCCAGTATCACCCTGATACCAAAACCTGTAAGAGATACCATGAGAAAGGAAAACTATAGGACAATATCTCTGATAAACACAGACACAAAAATTCTCAACAAAACACTAGCAAACCAAATCAAACATCAAAGTTAATTTACCACGATCAAGTTGGCTTCACTCCTGGTATGGAAGGTTAGCTCAATATATGCAAATCAATAAATATGATTTACCACATGAGAAGAATTAAAAATAAAACCATATGATCATCTCAATAGACACAGAAACAGCTTTCGATAAAATGCAATACCACTTCATGATAAAAACCCTCAAGAAACTAGGCAACAAAGAAATATACCTAAAAACAATAAGAGACCAAAATGACAAACTCACAACCAATATCAGACTGAATGGGCAAAAGCTGGAAGAATTTTCCTTGAGATCTGGAAAAAGTTAAGGATGCTCACTCTCACCACTCCTGTTAACACTGGAAGTGCTAGCCAGAGCAGTCAGGCAAGAGAAGGAAATAAAAGGCATTCAAACATGAAAAAAAGAAGTCAAACTATCTCTCTTGCATATTACATGATTTTATAACTAGAAAACCCTAAAGACTCCACCAAAAGGCTCCTAAAACTGATAAATGACTTCAGTAAAGTTTCAGGACACAAAATGAACATGTAAAAATTAGTACCATTTCTATACAACTATAGCATTCAAGGTGAGAGCCAAATCAAGAAAGTAATCCCATTTAAAATAGCCACACACACACACAAAATACCTAGGTATACATATAACTAAGCAGATGAAAGATTTCTACATGGATAACTACATAACATTGCTAAAAGAAATCACAGATGACACTAACACATGTAAAAACATTCCATGTTCATGGATTAGAAGAATCAGTATTGTTAAAATGGCCATACTGTCCAAAGCAATTTACAGATTCAATGTTATTCCTATCAAACTACCAACGACATTTTTTCCAGAACTAGAAAAAGCTATTCTAAAATTTATATAAAATCAAAAGAGCCCAAATAACTACAGCAGTCCTAAACAAAAAGAAAAGTCAGAGGCATCACATTACCCAATTCCAAACTATACTGTAAGGCTACAGTAACCAAAACAGCATGATACTGGCACGAGAGCAGACACATAGACCAATGGAACAGAATATAGAACCCAGAAATAAAGGTGCACACCTACAGCCATCTGATCTTTGACAATGTTGACAAAAATAAGCAATGCAGAAAGGATTCCTTATTCAATAAATGGTGCTGGGATACCTACCTAGTCACATGCAGAATAATGAAATTGGACCCCTACATTTCACCATATACAAAAATTACCTCAAGGTAGATTAAAGATTTAAATATAACACCTCAAACCATAGGAATCCTAAAAGAAAATCTAGGAAATATGATTCTGGATATCAGCCTTGGGAAATAATTTCTAACTAAGTTCTCAAAAGCAATTGAAACAAAAACAAAAATTAACAAGTGAGACCTAATTCAACTAAAGAGTTTCTGCACAGCAAAATAAACTACCAATGGAGTTAACAGACAACCAACAGAATAGGAGAACATGTTCACAAACTATGCCTCCAACAAATGTCTAATATCCAGAATCTATAAGGAACTTAAACAGTTGAACAAGCAAAAAAAAAAAATCTCACCAAAAAAATGGGCAAAAGACTTGAACAGACATTTCTCAAAAGGAGACATACAAGCAGCCAACAAACATTTAAAATGCTCCATATCACTAATCATTAAGATATGCAAATCAAAGCGACAATGACATACCATCTTACACCAATCAGAATGACTATTATTAAAAACTCATGCCAGGCATGGTGGCTCACACCTGTAATTCCAGCACTTTGGGAGGATCACTTGAGCCCAGAAGTTTGAGACCTGACTGGGTAACAAAGTGAGACCTTATCGTTACAAAAAAAAAATAAATAAAAAGTTTGCCAGGTGTGGTGGTGCGTGCCTGTAGTCTCAGCTACTCAGGATGCTGAGGTAGGAAGATCACTTGAGCCCAGGAGATTGAGGCTGCAGTGAGCCATAATTGTGCCACAGCACTCCAGTCTGGGTGACAGAGTGAGACTCTGTCTCAAAAAAGAAAACTCAAAAAACTCAAAACCTAATAGATGCTGGTGAGGCTGTGGAAAAAAGGGAATACTTATATACTGTTGGTGGGAATGTAAATTAGTTCTGCCACGGTAGAAATTGGTTTGAACACTTCTCAAAAGACATTTTTTTTTCTTTTGAGACAGTCTCGCTCTGTCGCCCAGGCTGGAGTGCAGTGGCGCGAACTCAGCTCACTGCAAGCTCCGCCTCCCAGGTTCATGCCATTCTCCTGCCTCAGCCTCCCAAGTAGGTGGGACTACAGGCGCCTGCCACCATGCCTGGCTAATTTTTTTGTGTTTTTAGTAGAGACGGGGTTTCACTGTGTTAGCCAGGATGGTCTCCATCTCCTGAACTCATGATCCACCTGCGTTGGCCTCCCAAAGTGCTGGGATTACAGGCATGAGCCACCGCTCCCGGCCCTCAAAGAACTTAAAACAGAACTACCATTAGACCAGCAATCCCATTACTGGATATATAGCCAAAAGAAAATAAATTGTTCTACTAGAAAGACACATGCACTCACATGTTCATCACAGCACTACTCACAAAAGCAAAGACATGGAATTAACTGAGGCACCCATTAATAGTGGATTGGACAAAGAAAATGTGGCATATATACACCATGGAATATTATGCAGCCATGAAAAGAACGAAGTCACATCCTTTGCAGCAGCATGGATGTAGCTGTAGGCCAAGACCCTAAGCAAATTAACACAGGAACAAAAAACCAAATACTGCATGTTCTCACTTATAAGTGGGAGCTAGACATTGGGTATTCATGAGCATAACAATGGAAACTGAGGACTACTAGAGGAGGAAGGAAGAAGAAGAAAGGGTTGAAAAACTATTGAGTACTATGCTCAGTACCTCAGTACCTAGGTGATGGGATCATTTGTACCTCAAACATTAGTGTCACACAATATACCCAGGTAACAAACCTGCACATGTACCCACTGAAGCTAAAATAAAAGCTGAAAAAATAAATAGAGCTGCGATAGCTGGAAAAAAATGGTCTAATACACTCTTTCCCAGAGTTTAACACATAATCATTTATGGTATACAAGCAGTTTTTAGGTGGTACATCGAATATATATTTAAATAGTTAAGAATGTATATTAATGTCTTTTAGAAAAATTATAACTGGCATATCAAATCCATTATTTCAGAGATATTATTGCTTAGGAAGAGGCTAAGCAAAACAAAAATATTAGACTAATGAGTTTAGTAGTGAGTCTGCTTCCTGATAATCCCCACTAACTCTGCTTAATATCTTTCCACAGCACTTATCATTATTTGACATGTACATTTGTTGCTCGTCCTCCCACAGTGTAAGATCTATGAGGGCAGGAATTTTGTCCATTTTCTTTGCTGCTATATGCGCAGAACTTAGAATAGTATCTGGTAACTAGAAAGGGCTCGATATACAGTTACTGAAAGAAAGGGATGGGGTGCAAATTAGAAAGCGATTGAGGGAGAAGAGGGAGGAAGGAAAGAAGAAGGAAGGGAGGGAGGGAGGGACGGAAAGGAGGGAGAGATGGAGGGAGTAGAGTTAAACAAATAAGTAATATAAAAGGTATGAAAATGCAGCAATAGCTGTGAAGCCCGTAGAATATGGCTTGGGAAGCATAGGAATAACAGGCTAAAGTAACAAGCAGTTTGGTTAGAGAAGATAAAGGATTACAGATGCTTGAATAATATGCTAAAGGCCGGGTGCAGTGGCTCACGCCTGTAATCCCAGCACTTTAGAAGGCCGAGGTGGGCAGATCACCTGAGGTCAGGAGTTCAAAACCAGCCTGGCCAACATGGTGAAACCCCATCTCTACTAAAATACAAAAATTAGCTGGGCGTAATGGCGGGTGCCTATGATACCAGCTACTTGGGAGGTTGTGGCAGGAGAATCGCTGGAACCTGGGAGGCAGAGGTTGCAGTGAGCCAAGATTGCACCATTGCACTCCAGCCTGGGCGACAGAGTGAGACTCTGTCTCAAAAATAAATAAATAAAGCCCTAGAATATTAAAAGATAACATAAATTTCTCTAGGTTATATTGCTGATCCCCAGGAGTATTCTGAAGGTTCTATCCAGAACTCCGCCATTTTCATTCTTTGATAAAATTGAAGAGTCTTTTAAAGTCATTGGGAAAACACTCAAGATTAAAGATCTTAATGGAATCTAAGTGTCAGCATTAGATGCTCTGCTACTTTCTAAGGCAAGCATGCCAAGGAGAAAACAATGGCTGCGCCAGGGTCAGAATACCTTCAGGTCTTTCTTCTGGCTCCGACATTGACTAGATGTGTGATTTTGTGAAAAAGTTGTATTTTCTAAAATTTAGGAGGTTCCTTAAGACTTCTGAGTTGAAACAGAAATACAAAGAGGTGGTAATTGAGGTGTGGGACTCAAAAACAATTTTAATCTGCTGAGGTTGTGGTTTTATTCATTTAATAGAAAGTTACTGAGCACCTCCTTAAGCCAGGCACTACTGTCAACCTAATCACTGCCCTTAACTTAGGAAAACAAATCTTTAATCAAGAAATTATAAAATTCTATAAGTGATCTAATTACATGAATTACTGTAAAGTGCCCAGTATGTTACCTGGGTGATTAATTTTGGTCCAGCACATTTGCAAAAACAAATGAGGTGACAGTTGTATACGCTTTAAACTTGACAAGCATTGGTCTAAATATAGCATTTCCCAAAGGAAAATACACACAACGTCCATGGAACACAAGCTGTTTATAGTTAGTGCACTGAAAAAACATTTTTAGCTTTAACAATTATGTAATATTTTTATTATGTTTTTAAAAAGTTATATCTAGATGTAAAAGCTACGATTCCCAGACAGTGTTGTGCAGGATGTGGCTAAGTGAAAAAATTCAAGGGAGTACGGGTGTCTTGCATAACTGTGGCTCGCTTGATCTCCCTCACTCTGCTATGTTTTCATTCAAACTATCTGTCACTATCTGACATTAATTTTTTAAATGTGTGCTATATTACTGAAAGTTTTAGAGATTCTAATAAAAATATGGGAAAAGGGAATTATTAATATAACTCTTCATCAAATGGATTCCTACCCCAGTTACAGTAATCTTGCTTTAATCAATCACTTGGAGAAGCTAGTAAGCAATGTACCTGACCAATTTGCAGAGTCAATTTTTTGAGCTGAAAGGAATGTTAATGCTCTCGTTTTACAGATAAGTAGACTGATGCCCAGGAAGAGCTGTGGTCACACAGGAGATGGGCAGCAAAGCCTAGACTCCCACACATGTTACTTAATGACAGGTCAGTACATTGCCCATTACCTCTACTTATAGGCAATATAGATGAATTGAGTTTTCTTCTCTTAACAGACCTCAATGTGCTAGAAAACTGTAAAGTTAATGGAATGGTATTGGTTGCTTCATTCAGACACTCACATGTGCAGAGTCACTGCCAATAATCAAGACAGAAAAAACAAAAACAAAGATGAATAAGAAATTGCAATTTTCTGACACACAGTTTTATAGTATAAAGATTACACAGTATATTATTGATGAAAACATCAGAATTACCTCCAAGGACCATGCCAGCCTGACAGCACTTTCTAAGGCGACATGCTGGGCAGTTTTTTCTGCGGATTTTATCAACGATGCAGTCATTTCTTCCAGCACATAAGTAGTTGTGCTGCCCTAAAAAAACAAAATGAGTCAAAATTATTTACAATATCTAAGATTCACTGGAAATTCTATGCAGTGACAACTGAAATAGAGACTAGATACACATCAGCAAGTGCATGACTCAGCCAGCTTCCTGCCTGGCACAGCTGAATGTTGGTGAAGCTATAAAACTGCTCAGTACTTTACCTGTGCCTTTAGGAGCCTAAATTAGGTGAGCATAGCTGAAGAATCAATCCTAGGGCTCCTTTAAAAATCTTTTGCAAGAGATTTCTGTTTATCTTCTTAATGGTGTCAGTATCAGATTGCCTTTAGATGTCATTTCAAGATTAGCTACACGTTTCTGATAAGCATTAGTTGTACCAGGTGGTCAAACTCTAGTAAAACCTTTCTTTCTGACATTGATGCCTTCAAGAAAACAGATACAGACTAAAGAATTGAAGAGGCCTCTGGAAAAGACCTTTTAAAAAAAAATCTAAATGCTTAGTTCTATTGGAAAAATCCCAGAGCTGGTTCTCTCTTTAAGGAATCAATGGAAGAGCATGTAAAAAAGATCACTTATTGTACTGAATTTAATACCTGCCTTATTTTGACTACACATTAGAAAATACCTTGAACAGAAATAATGATAAAGGAAGAACTTAAAACAGATAGAAGTACTCAATAAAGAGGAGAAACTTTATAGAAGTATAGACAATACACATCGCACATCACCCTGGGGTCACTTTGTGTAGAGGAAACTATGGATGCCTTTAAAAAGGTCTGGCACATGAATTTAATATTCAATAATGATTTTTAAACCACAAATATGTTAATAAGGCACGGAACAATCTAATTTATTTAGATTTAACAAAAATAAAAAAATTCAGCTTAAACATGTAAACGTTAATTTACTATTTTTGACACTCTCTTTTTTTCCCAATAAATTTCTTTAAAACAGACTGTGAGTCTTTTAATATCATCAGCCTACTTCAGCCTACTTATACTGCTGAAGCATGACACATAATTTTAAAAGATCATGGGATTTTCCTGTAGTATTTTACATTAGTTAAGATTAAAATCAGAGTCTTCTGGCCAAAGTTGGTAGTAAAGGAACTCAGAGGTACCTAAAACATGTACTTAATCAAGCAGGGGAAAGGATTAGCCTAAACGGCAAAGGGCAAAAATGCCAAAAGGCCTATATATGTGACAGCTGATATCAAGAAGGTTCCTGACCTCATGCATTTCTGGAAAAGCACAAATATTTTCTTAAAGATGCATGCCTCTATAAACTTATGTTCATGTACACTCACATAGTGTTCATCTCTTGTTTAGAGTCCCAGGAATTAAGCCTTCACCTAATAAAGGGTAACTGTGAAGCCTCATATCTTTGCTGACTTTTGTGCACATAGTGCCAGTCCTACAGGAGGTTAGCAGAGTGTACTGCATACTACTTTCTGATTTGACTCTAATTTTTTTTTTTTTTACCACAAGTTATATATTTAGGCTATAGGAGTGACTGTGAGAGCAAGGTGTGTGTAAGTCAGTCTATCAGTTGATCATCTATTTCTACCCTATACTGATATCTCACAAGAAGAGAGAACAGAAAATAGCAAGATTTTCTATTCTTTTTCTTTCAGACGGAGTTTCGCTCTTGTTGCCCAGCCTGGAAAGCAAAGGCACAGTCTCGGCTCACCACAACGTCCACCTCCTGGGTTCAAGGAACTTTCCTGCCTCAGCCTCTGAGTAGCTGGAATTACAGGCATGCACCACCACGCCTGGGTAATTTTGTATTTTTAGTAGAGACAGGGTTTCTGCATGTTGGTCAGGCTGGTCTCGAACTCCCAACCTCAGGTGATCTGCCCGCCTTGGCCTCCCAAAGTGCTGGGATTACAGGCATGAGCCACCACGCCCACCAAGGTTTTCTCTATACAGAAAACAGACTTCGAGAAATAGAGCACGCAGATGTAATTGTTTGAAGAGAGGCTGTCCTACTGTCTGCTCCTTGGTCATAAATACGCAGGAAAAAGGTCTGATCTAAACACCAGAAGCTGGCATGCTGCTGATCTGTCTCACTTACATTTCTAAAATGGCCTACGATATCATCTCCTTATTCAGTGTCTCAAAGAGTCCTCCTTACCAATGGTTTTTGCTTTTGTCCTTCAAACAATTCCTTCCTATCTGCTTTCAAGTCTTGCTCCATCAATTTCCTCCTTTCTCTCCTAAAGTCTTTAGTCTCTCCAGTCCAGTGATGTCCTGCTCTCTCATTATTTTTCCATCCAAAAAAGTTCCAGCACCAAAAAAAGGAACCCTAGCTCACTCTAGATTCTCCCTGAATACATTCCCCTTTTTTTGGTCCTCAAAGTTGTCGAAAACATCATCTACATTTGCTGTTTCTACCTAACTTCCTTTATTCCTATGTGGTAATTTGACTTGTATATTCACTATTCTTATAAAATGGCTTAACATCATCAAATATTTTTTCATTCCTAAATGCTGTGAATGCTTTCCTGACCTGAATCATTTGCTTCAGGTAATTTCTTTCCCCACCTGTCCCATTGATTCATATTTTGGGGCCTCTCTTTTCTGACTCTTGACCTGTCTTTCCAGCACTTCCTTTTAAATTCCCTTTGTCAACTCCTCTTACTTTGCTTATTCCTTATATGTGGTGTGCCACTGCACACACTTTGTGGGTAGTCTGTCTCATTATCTTCTGATGGTCCCAAAATCTCAATATGAGCTCTGACCTTCCAGTCATATTTCTAGGTACCTCAAACTCAATATATACAAAATACAACTAAGTGGTTATCTGTACAAATTATATCATGAATTGTATTATTAGAGAAATTATATAAGAACGTAAGGAAATTCAAAACAGAAAATAACCTACAATTTGATAATCATGCATCTATTCTCATTTTTGCTTCCTTCTTGCTATGGTTTGAATGTTTGTGTCCCCTTCAAAATTCATATTGAAACTTAATCCCCAATGTGACAATATTAAGAGGTGGGGTCTCTGCCTCCATGGATGGAATCAGTACCCTTTTAAAAGGGCTTGAGGGAGTGAATTTGGTCCTTTTTATCCTTTCTGCCATGTGAGGATGCAGCAAGGGGCGCCATCTTGGAAGAAGACAGCAAGCTTTTACCAGACATGGAATCTGTGCCACCTTGATCTTGGACTTCTCAGCCTTTAGAACCATCAGAAAATATTTCTGTATTTATAAACTACCCAGTCTAAGGTATTTTTTTATTGCAGTGGAACAGACTAAAGTATTTCCAAACTGTCTATACAAATCTAAATGGTATTTAATATCTATTTGTTAATATTTAAGTTAATGTATTTATACTTTTATAAAACTCTCATTCATTCAACAAGTATTGAGTATCTACTATATCCCAACACTATTTACTGACTAATCCATGTTTTCCCCCACTAAATTAAAATGCCATCTTAATTGCTGACACTACATTGTAGTACCGAAGAGCAAAGTTACAGAGGCCAGACTGCTTGTTCAAAGCTCAGATCTGCAACTTACTATCCACAAATAAAAATAATAAAAGAACAACAGACAATTATTAAGCACTTACTATGTGCCAGGCATTGTTATGAGCTATTGACATATATTAACTCATTTCATCATCAAAGCAACCTTTGGAGGTATTAATATTCTCATTTTATACAGAGTTAACTGAGGCATCTAGAAGTTAAATAACATGCTCAAGGTCACACAGTTAAAACATTTTAGGTTAATTATCTTGAGAGGTAGTATAGAAAGTTACTGTTTAAGTGTGAATGTCAATCTCATCACTTAGTAGCTAGATGACATTTGGCAATTAAAATGAAGATAACATTAGTACCTTGGATTGGATCTAAGGAATACACAAGCTCATGTAAGAGCTTAGAATAGTCTGGCACATAGCAAGTACTTAACAAATGTCTATTATAATTATGATTATCACACATCTAAATCTCAAATATAGTTAGATTTTTTCTAGATGTGGTCCAAGAAGTCTATATCTAGTCAAGTTATTCAGTTTTAAAGGCAACTTAAAGATATTCTCAAACTTGCATGAAATTGGGAAATAAGACCCCAGTATGCTCTTCCAAAAGATGTAATCCAGTCAACAACAGATACGTTATAGCAGACAATGTATGAGGTAGGAAGTCTGGTATGAAGAGACTGATGATAAGTACCAAATAAATTTAAACATAAGTATAAATTTAAACATGAGTATAAATAAGGAAATTATAGTTACCAAACAGAATGCAATTCTTATAAGTTTGGAAGAAAAAATGACTTAGATGTCCAATATTTAAAGTTTGAGTTGGAAGGATAATTTTTAATAATTAAGGGCACTGGCATGAAGTCACGACCTTGAGGGGTTGGCACGACTCATATCATTGTAGACTGCCTGTGACAGGCTGGAATGGCTTAAAGAAATCTGGAAGCTCAATTCACTCTAACTTTTCATCATCTTTAACATTAAGTGATGAGCCATCAAAACTGCAAAGTAGATGCATTATCATGCAAACAAAATATGGGGAGTACAGTTAAAGGTTTATCTTCTCAAGCAATGTTTTGGCTTAAAGAAATGTTGTAGCCAGCCAGTTCCAACTAGAGCCGACTAAGGGAATTTGGCATGGGGCCCAGGCATTGCCTCTGAACCATAATGCATGGCCAGGACTCAGAGCCACCAAGAATGCAATGAATGCAGTGGGAGCCACTCGCTACTTCAGGTACCTGGCTGTATATGCAGGTGAAGAAAGGTCAGGCACAAGTGCATTAGCCCTGTCACAACATTTTCCTGGAAATCTAGAAAAAGATGAAAATCTAACATAACATCAGTTGCTACCATTTTCTTCAGACAACAGCCCACAGTTTATATTCTGGTTTTGAGAAACACATCCCTGTCTAGATCCACTCACTCACTCATAAACCGTAGGTTGATGGCTCAAATTGCGTATTATTTCTTCTCCTCAGTCCAACATAACATTGTGATTCTACAACAAGTGTAAAACACGTCACTATATTAAACCACTCAGAGCATTCCATTTGCTGCCATCTTTGCTGTTTACCTACATTATCACCACCAGGAGTTATAAGACATTTAGGAACACTTATAAGCTATAAGCCACCACAAACAGGTTACATGGCATAATGATAAATAGGGGAGTTCACCCCACTAGGAGCCACTATCTAGCTCTCTCCCTTAATATATGCATCATCTGCCCCTGTTGAAACCTGGGGAGCTTAATAGAGCACTATGCTTCTTTCTCCTTGCAAAACTGATCTATTTTAGGGTGGGGAAAGCAGGGGGTGAGTTCAAACTGTTATGTCTTTTCTTTCTAATCACATACTCTTTCCCATGTTCTTTATGCTCCAGAGTACTAACATCCTTGGATTACCCCCAAACTCTCTCATGCCTCTATGACTTTCCTCCCTTCCTTCCAATTTATCAACTTAACAAAATCTCACTCGTCTTTCAAGCCTTGGCTTAACTGCTCCCCTCATCTGGTCTTACCTGACTGCTCTCATAAAGGCTTTAGACATTTCTTCTGTGTACCAACTGCACATTCAATGTATTCCTATTGTATACTTTGTGTCTATAGCTACTAGGTTCTATAAGAGTAGGAACTACTCAGTTTGATACTTTTAACTCTTGTGTAAAATACAGCTTGATAAATATTTTTTAGATAGGTGTATATACAATTATACCTATTGTTTCGCTTATATTTGTAAATATAGTTATACTCAACAGTATAAGACATATGTCACTTATTGTCATATATAGTAAATAGTCACTTGCTTCTGATTTTTTACCACCTTTTAACTTTTTTTCTTACAGAATGCTTTTTATTCAGTAATTTCTCACCTTTTTATAGTAATAGACCATAATTAAATGTGAAGTCTAACAAGATTATTTCCAAGTGTTACTCTTTTTTTTTTTTTTTTTGAGCGGAGTCTCGCTCCGTCGCTCAGGCTGGAGTGCGGTGGAGCCATCTCAGCTCACTGCAAGCTCTGCCTCTTGGATTCATGCCATTCCCCTGCCTCAGCCTCCCGAGTAGCTGGAACTACAGGCGCCCACCACCACGTCTGGCTAATTTTTTGTATTTTTAGTAGAGATGGGGTTTCACCGTGTTAGCCAGGATGGTCTCGATCTCCTGACCTTGTGATCCTCCTGCCTCGGCCTCCTGAAGTGCTGAGATTACAGGCGTGAGCCACCGTGCCCAGCCCCAAGTGTTACTCTTAATAAAAAATACTCTGTGAAAATAAAAGCACTATCAAAATGTGATTAGATCATTTTATTTGCCTAGTGACTTACAAAAATTTTAGATGACAAAATTCCACTTTAAAGGAAATAAAATATCTTTATTAGGAAATAAAATATCTTTATTAGAAACAAGAAAGGGACTTACCTGTAAAATAAGAGACCTATATTGTTTGTGTTGCTTCTCAATATGAGCACAAGTGAACATAGTTCACTTAGGTCTGAGAGAGTTCACAATTTTTCATGGCATTTTTGAAAAGAAGGGGAAAATACATAGTCAAATGGCAGGAAATAATATATGTTCAGTAGTTTAAGGAATGAAATAGTGAAAGTCAGTATGGTATGACCCACAAGTCACGGGCTTGAAGCAACATGAGCTGGTCCATATGAGGGCAATCTTTCTACCACAAACACAGAAATACTGGATAAAATATAATAGAAGCATGTTGCTTAATTTCAGTCTGGAAAAAAAGGTAGGTAAATCTCTATAAGCCAGAAAAGAAAAAAGAAATGAAAGCTGGAGGAACAAACTTAACTGGACTCTGCAGTGATCCAAAAAAGTTTCAGATACAGATATAAGAAATGCCTAAAAGATAAGAAATGGGGTTTAAAGCCCATGAGAGGATGGGATATATTACTTCAGTCCCAATGGAAGAGAGTGGCAGGGCTGAACTATATGCATAAAAATGTAGAACCTTAAAAGACTGCCTTAGCAATGAAAACAGGGCTAGAAAACACTACACAGAAAATGCCAGGCAGCCAGGAATCTGTCCAAAATTCAGGGTGAGGACAAAAATCATTTATGCCAAAAACAACATAAACAAAATAAAATATTGGCCTTTAATGGGAGGTGAATTTTCACTATCACATGGTATAGGAACCTGGGCCAAGGAACAAAGACTGGTACAGGACCAGTGAAATTGCCAGGGTCCTTGGAGAGGCAAATGAAAAGCTTATCTGTAGGGACAGGTGTGTCCACATGCAAAAAATAAAAGATTTGTACAAGAATATTTATAGCAGCAGTGTTCATAATAGCCTCAATCTGAAAACAACCCAAATGATCACCTACAGCATAATGTGTAAACAAATGGTTTTATTTATTCAATGCATTATTATACAGCAATGAGAATAAATGTCTAGCTCCATGCAAAATGTGGATGAACTACATAAGTATAATGTTGTGTAAAATAAGCAGACATAGAAAAATACTATCTGATTCCATTAATATAAAGTTCTAAAATAGTTCAAACCAATCTATCATGTTAGAAATTGGGATGGCGGTTACTTTTGGGGAATGATTGGAAGGGGCAAAATGGAGCTTCTGGGAACCTAATGATCTTTAAATTTTTTGGTCTGGGTGATAATAACATCGTTTCATTTACCTACTGATAAGCTCTACATCTTTGAGTGCTTTTCTGAAAATATTTATCAATAAAAGTTTCTTTCTTTTAAAAACTGGCTCCAGCTAAGAGGACAACCTAGAGAGTATTGTGATCCAACAGAATCTGTGTAGGGTCAGTCAGCGGAAGTCCAGAAGCAGAGGGTCACGGTCATGTCCAGAGAGAAGAGAGGTGTCTACTGCATTACAGCATTACAGGATTACAGTTAGAGGCTCTCAGTAAAGTATCTCCATGAATCTCACCAAAGTATCCCACTAGAGGAAGAGCAGCCTGTAATCACCCACCAAACACAGATAACCCCAGTGACACTAAAATTCCTACTTGTTGTGTAAAACTGTGCTCTCTAACTTCTCTTCCCACACGTTGGCCCTGGAAGGGTCAAAATCAGCTGTCATTGGGTGAGTGTAGGCAGCATAAACAGAGAAGAAGCAGATCTTATTTGTTCTTCCCTTTAGGCTTCAAGCTCAAAGCAGTGAGTGCTGAATTGGGGCAAAGAAGAAATCTAAACTTAGAAGAGGATTTGTAAATTTGGCATAATGCTTCCCTGGGCATTTTGATTACTGATATGGTTTGGCTTTGTGTCACCACCCAAACCTCATCTTGAATTGTAATCCCATAATCCCCCCATGTTGTGGGAGGAACTCAGTGGGAGGTAATTGAATCATGGGGGTGGTTTCCCCCCATGCTCTTCTCGTGATCATCATGAGCAGTGTGATCAATCAGTGAATTCTCATGAGATCTGATGGTTTTATAAGAGTCTAGCATTTCCCCTACTGGCACTCATTCTCTCTCCTGCTGCCTTGTAAAGAAGGACATGTTTACTTCCCCTTGGGCCATGATTGTAAGTTTCCTGAGGCCTTCCCAGCCATGTGGAACTGTGAGTCAATTAAACCTCTTTCTTTTATAAATTACCCAGTCTTAGGTATTTCTTCACAGCAGCATGAGAACAGACTAATACGGTTAGTGGAATGAGATTGTTCTTCTGATTAAAATCTTTGGGACTGGCCTAAGATTTTATGCAGGAGATGGAAGAACTAGTCTACAAAGCAGGTTTTGTTGTTAGAGGTAATAATGCTGATACTAGTATTTTGAATCCACACACACACACACACACACACACACACAATACATACAGATAAAACAACTAGTAATTATTTTGATTTTGCTAGAAATACAAACATAAACCAGTAATTCTCAACTAGAGGCAATTTTGCTCCCTTCCTCACCAGGACATTTCACAATATCTGGAGACAATTTTGGTTTATGCAACTAGAGGGTAGGTATTATTGCAGAGAGGCCAAAAAGGCTAATAACATCCCATAATGCACAGGACATCCCCCCCTGCAACAATTATGTGGCCCAATAGGTCAATAGTGTGAGGTTGAGAAATCATGGTATAAACTCATGATCCCCTTACTTTTTCAAAAAGAGGTATTTTCTAGGTCTCTTCACTGAAAATGCCCAAAAGTAAAGACAACTCCAGCAGGAATTCAGATTTTCACATGTAATATAATTTTCATCTAAAACGAACCAGAGCTCCTTGGGGAAATGACTGATCCAGGACTAGGGCAGGAAATGTGCAAGTTGAGCCTGGGATGCTTTGCTGTGACAGATGATTTGCTTTTACTGAGGGCTAATAAAATTGTGTTTCATTGACCACTGATAATTCACACCAACCAAAATTAAAACCACTTGAACATCAAAAAGAACTGGTTCAAGTAATTAAAACACATTGAATATATATTTTAAAAAACATGAGTACATAATGATATGTAAGAAGAGAAAGAATGAAAGAAACAAGAGGAACTCACTGGAAACCACTGGAGATTACTAGGGCACAAACTTAACAACTTTGAAAACTGAAAATTAAAAGTAAATAATAAGTATCTGTTAGGCTTTCCATTATTAAGTGTATTTTAAGATTACCAGATTGCCTCTTGGAAGAGAGAGAGAACTATTAAAAATATTTATAGCTGATAAAATCAGAAGGGATAATAGAAATAGAGAATCATCCTTTTGCAATTCCTAATGAAATGGCCACCACTTGTCAAGTCTGAAAAGACAATTAAAATACTCCTCCATTTTCCAACTACATATCTGTGTGAGGCCACATTTCCTTCCCATGCTTCCACCAAAACAACATATTGGAACAGATTGACTGTAGATCCAGATATGAGAATCCAGCTGTCTTCTATTAAGATAGACATTAAAATGACTTATAAAAATGTAAAACAATGTCATTCTTGTCATTAAATTTTTTGGTTTGAAAAATTAGTATCTAATGGGTTTGCTGTTTTTTAAATGAGCTAATAAAAAGTTTTAAAACATTATGAGTTTTAATTTCTAACACAGTAAATACTGAGAGAGAGAATTCACGTATACAGAAGCTCTTTGGGCTTGTAGCAATTTTTAAGCACATAAGGGGGTCATGAGATCAGTGTCTGAGAACCGTTGGCCTGTGTAGGATTCTTGTCAAAACGTTTAACTGGCATATAATTATGTGGGGGAAAAATCAGACAAAGCCAGATTATGGAACTTTCTACAAAACGGCTGGCCTAGACTCCCAAAAAAATGCCAATGTCCTGAAAGACAAAAAAAGGTGGGAGATCTTTTTAGATTAAAGAAAACTAAACAGAGTTGCTAACCAAGTAAAATACACAATTCCTGACTGGATCCTGAATAAAAAAACATTCTATACAAAACATTTTGGGAAAAACTGAAGAAATTTTAATACTAGCTGAATATTAGAATTGTTTTATCAATGTTAAAATTTTGGGGTGATAATATTGTGGTTGTAATGGAAGATGTTCTTGTCCTTAGGACATGAATTTTGGAGCCTTAAGAGGTGAAATGTCATGATGTCTGCAACTTACCTTCAAATTGTTGATTACAGATATTCGCTGTACTATTCCTTAAAGTTTTTTGTATGTTTTCTGGAATCCAGCATATTCTGAAGATGCATGCAGAATGAGACAAAGGTTCAGACCAGTTTTTCACGTTAGTAAGTCAGGGGATGGTCATGTAAAGTGGAATGAAGAGTGACTATCTAGCAGAGTGTGAAAGACAGCTGGACAATAACAAATCAGTAGGTTTTAAAATATCTTCATGAAGATCCAAGGATTTTTGATAAAAGTGAAGGAAAAAGGTGTGGGGTGAAGGAGAGAAGGAAAATCTTATTGAGTATATTAGAGACCAATATACTAAGCATTTAACTGGTTTATTTCATGTAACCTTGTAACAAAGTAGACATAAAAACATTTAATTTCTCTAGAACAGCAGTCCCTAATCTTTTTTGCACCAGGGACAGGTTTCATGAAAGACGAATTTTCCACGGACTGGGGGCAGTGAGGGGTGGGGGGGGTTGGGGGAAGCGGTGATTTCAGGATGAAATTGTTCCACTTCAGATTATCAGGCATTAGTTAGATTCTCATAAGGAGCACAACCTAGATCCCTGGCACGCGCAGTTTGCAATAGGGTTTGCGCTGCTATGAGAATCTAATGCCACCACTGGTCTGATGGGAGGTGCAGCTCAGGCAGTAATGCTCACTCACCTGCTGCTCACCTCCTGCTGTGTGGCCTGATTCACAGCAGGAGGTGAGCAGCAGGTGAGTAAAATGGCAGGAGAAATGATAATGTATGTTCAATAGTTCAAGGAGTGAAATGGTGAAAGTCAGTATGGTATGACCCACAAATCGTAGGCTTGTTCTAGGTTGGGGACCCCTGCCCTAGAAGAAATAATAAAGTGCGTGGAAATTCCCAAGGATGGAGCAGATCTAAATAGTCTTTGGACTGGAATCTAAGACGACACAGAATATACTGGCTAGAGAACAGACCACTGGGCACTGAACACCAGGTGTGAGCATCTGAGACCTTAAGGGTGATCCTGAGGAGGGATACAGCACACTGGTGAGCAGCAGGGCAGAGAATAGCACCTCCTGTCTCTTACCCCCGCATGTTACTAAACTTCACCCTGAACTACAGGACACTACAGGAATCCCAAATTAGTCCAACCATCAGACAAACAAGTACTTCGGTAAAGACTGGGCATATTCCTGACCTCTCACATATATAAGAATATATGTTATCTTCACCCAAGAATAGCAACTCAACCTGATGGAATTTTTGCCAATCTCAGCATTTAGTACTCAAAGAGGAAATCTAATGTCAACCCAATTTTTATGTCTTAGTAGTTAACCAGTTTTATTAATCCTACTTAAATGCATATAGGGTGTTTTTCCTTCTCATGAAAAATTTTAAAAAATTACCAATATTGCAAAGTTTTAGCTTTTTAAAATTACATTTACCTGGGATGCAGTGAGTCCTTTTGATCTAAAAAGTAAAATTTTTATTTAACTGCTAAACTTACTTCTGTTATACGTGTTCTACCACCTATTATTAGCTATATAACCTTGAGCAGATCATTTAACTTCTTGGCACTACATTATCCTCATCTATAAAATAACAGTTTAAAAGTTGCTTTGAGGGTAAAATAATGTATATAAAATCTATAGCACCATAACAGACACAGAATAAATGCTTAACAGTAATTATGACAGTTCAATAAACAAATATTTCTTGAATATCTACTATGTGCCAACATTGTTCTAGGTGCTGGTGACACAATGTAGAAATGATCTCGTAAAAAAGATACATAAGGAAGAGTCATTTTCTATAATCAATTAATACTTTTGCTGCCTTGTTTTTTAGTTTCTTCTTCAGAATCACTGGATATTTATGGGTTGCATATGTGCTCTCTATTCATCGTATCTGTTGTCCAACAGCATAGTGATAAGGCCATATGCTTTAGAGTCAAATAGACTTTCATTCAAATTCAGTTCTGTCACTTTCTGCAGCATGATAAAATTGTTTAATCAAAATCTTAGTTTTTCCCACATATAATATAGAGATAAACATTTTATAAGGCTGTTATATGGATTAAGTGAGCTAAATTAGATGAAATGTTACCACAATGACTGGTACATAATAAAAACAATAAATCATAGTGTGTAATTTTCACCAGTTTACCAATTTCTCTTCATTCCGAAGTAACTCCTTAAATGTGAACTCTACATAATTGGTGTTATTTCCTGCTCTTTATGACGACCAATATGGATTTTAACTCTGTTACTGCATTTTGGATCACACTGCAGTATTTTCTTATCTCATCCAGCTATGCTTTTATTTAATCTGGTTGTTTCCTTATGACACTCAGTCTTGCTTCTCAGATACTGCTGTGTTTGTAATAACTCAAAGCAGATTATTATCCAAATTTTTCTTTTCTTTTTTTTTCAGCAAATAAATTTTAGGCATATTTTTCCTAAGATAGAATCTGGCTATTACTGATATTAAATGTTACTGGTGTTAAATGAAACAACTTGACAACACTGTAGTGGGGGAATGTGTTAAGTGAGACACTGGCAGTAACCAAAGTTTGTTATGTTTCAGGATACTCATGGAAGCTGGAAGCTGGAAGCTGGAATGGGTTGGAGAAGTGGGGAGTGTTGGGGAAAGGAATTAGAGAGGAAAGAAGAAATTGCTAAGATGCTAAGAGATGACAGGGATTGTTTGAGGATGTGAGTAAGGCTAGAGCTGGCTAAGCCAGGGAGAAGAGTAGTAGATAGTACAATCAGAGTGCAGCAGAGTGCAGATGCTGTAGGGCCTTGAAGGCCACTGTAAGAAATTTGATTTTTCTCTAAAAGATATGGTACCACTGGAGACACTGGAGCAGACGGCTAACATGATCTGACTTATATTTTAACAGTATCACAATGGCTTCTAAGTCGAGGGCAGACTCTCAACCTCTGGAATCTAGGAAGGTAAGGATAGAAATGAGACTGTCAGGAGACCACTGCAATACATCCGAAGGGGAATAAGAGTGGCTTAAACCAAAGTGGTCAGTGGAGGTGGTGATAAGAGGTCAGGTTCTGGATGTTTTCTGAAGGAGGAGACAATTGATTTAAAGAATCCTATTTGGTAGCATATTCCTTTTTTTTTTTTTTTTTTAGAAATGAAGTTTTAGGGACCTTTTCAAGGAGAACTACAAACCACTGCTCAAGAAAATCAGAGAGGACACAAACAAATGGAAAAACATTCCATGCTCATGGGTAGGAAGAATCAATGTAGTGAAAATGGCCATACTGCCCAAAGTAATTTATACATTCAATGTTATCCCCATCAAGCTACCACTGACTTTCTTCACAGAATTGGAAAAAGCTACTTTAAACTTCATATGGAACCAAAAAAGAGCCCACATAGCCAAGACAATCCTAAGCAAAAAGAACAAAGCTGGAGGCATCACACTACCTGACTTCAAACTATACTACAAGGCTGCAGTAACCAAAACAGCATGGCACTGGTACCAAAACGGATATATAGACCAATGGACAGAAAAGAGACCTCAGAAATAACACCACACATATACAACCATCTGATCTTTGACAAACTTGACTCAAACAAGCAATGGGGAAAGGATTCCCTGTTTAATAAATGGTGTTGGGAAAACTGGCTAGCCATAAGCAGAAAACTGAAACTGGACCCCTTCCTAACACCTTATACAAAAATTAACTCAAGATGGATTAAAGACTTAAATGTAAGACTGCAAACCATAAAAATCCTAGAAGAAAACCTAGGCAACACTATTCAGGAGATAGGTGTAGGCAGAGACTTCATGTCTAAAACACCAAAAGCAATGGCAACAAAAGCCAAAATTGACAAATGGGATCTAATTAAACTAAAGAACTTCTGCACAGCAAAAGAAACTATCATCAGAGGGAACAGGCAACCTACAGAATGGAAGAAAATTTTTGCAATCTATCCATCTGACAAAGGACTAATATCCAGAATCTAGAAGGAACTTAAATTTACAAGGAAAAAACAACCTCATAAATTGGGCAAAGGATATGAGCAGACACTTCTCAAAAAAAGACATTTATGCAGCCGACAGACATGAAAAAATGCTCATCATCACTAGTCATTAGAGAAATGCAAATCAAAATCACAATAAGATACCATCTCATGGCAGTTGGAATGGCAACCATTAAAAAGTCAGGAAACAACAGATGCTGGAGAGGATGTGGAGAAATAGGAAAGCTTTTACACTGTTGGTGGGAGTGTAAATTAGTTCAACCATTGTGGAAGACAGTGCAGCAATTCCTCAAGGATCTAGAACTAGAATTACCATTTGACCCAGCAATCCCATTACTGGGTATAAACCCAGAGGATTATAAATCATTCTACTATAAAGACACAGGCACACATATGTTTACTGAAGCACTATTCACAATAGCAAAGACTTGGAACCAAGCCAAATGTCCATCAATGACAGACTGGATTAAGCAAATGTGGCACGTATACACCATGGAATACTATGCAGCCATAAAAAAGAATGAGTTCATGTTCTTCGCAGGGACATGGATGAAGCTGGAAACCATCATCAGCAAGCTAACACAAGAACAGAAAACCAAACACCGCATTGTCTCACTGATAAGTGGGAGTTGAGCAATGAGAACACATGGACTTAGGGAGGGGAACATTACATACCTGGGCCTGTCAGGGGATGGGGGGCTAGGGGAGAGATAGCATTAGGAGAAATACCTAATGTAGGTGACGGGTTGACGGGTGCAGCAAACCACCATGGCACGTGTATATCTATGTAACAAAACTGCACGTTCTGCACATGTACCCCAGAACTTAAAGTATAAGTAAAAAAAGGAAATTAAGTTCTTCATGTCATCATTCTAAATAATGTGTTCTTTTTTCTTCCCTTCAACTATCTTAAATTGAATGAATCAGCTTTTCATCTATCTTTCCTGAAGCTGTTCTGCTCCTCTCTTTCTAAATAAAAAAATCTCTCTGGAACTCTTCCAAATGCCCTAATTATTCACATATCTTCTAACTTATAAAACGTGAAATTGTATGAAGTACTTAGTTATAATTGACATCCATAATAACATAGTTAGCTAAACAGTAAGCATTTAGAGAATGTAAGGAACTACACATTACATGCAAAATTTTAAAAAGAAACCACAATCATTTGACCTCACATACTATTGAGAAAGGAGTTTAAGACAGCTACATAAAAAACATTAAAAAATTACAAAACTATTTGTCAACAAAGTTGTTCATGTCCTTGTGCTACTCTGATGTAGGATTATAACAGTTACATACATGCAAATGGTTAATTCCTTCCCTCATATCTATGAAGTTTAGTTTTTTCTTCCTGATTACAGAAATCCTAAGTTTATCAATGTGTTCAACTTCATTATTTCTTCAAATTCTGTTTAGGCATATCAAGTGACTTAAGATTCTGTTATAACTTTCTAGAATCTCCCCAGTCTTACTTGAAACTGGCTTTGTAAAAAAAAAAAAAAAGAAAGAAAAAGGTAGAACTATATGGATAATTAATTAACATTTTCCTAAATGTTATTTAAGTCTAGGCACCAAAATATATAAGATTTGAACTGGCCAGGTGCAGTGGCTCACGCCTGTAATCCCAGCACTTTGGGAGGCTGAGGCAGGCAGATCACTTAAGGTCAGGAGTTTGAGACCAGCCTAGCCAACACAGTGAAACCCTGTCTCTACTAAAAATAAAAAAATTAGGTGGGCTTGGTGGTGGGCACCTGTAATCCCAGCTACTCTGGAGGCTGAGGCAGGAGAGTCACTTGAACCTGGGAGGCAGAGGTTGCAGTGAGCAGAGATTGTGCCATTACACTCCTGGGAGACAGAATGAGACTCCGTCTAAAAAAAAAAAAAAAAAAATGAGCCTAGGCAAGGTGGTTTATGCCTGAAACTCCAGCACTTTGGGAGGATTGCTTGAGGCCAGGAGTTCCAGACCAGCCTGCAACAAAGCAAAGCCTTGTCTATTAAAAAAATATCTGGAGGTTGAGGTGGGAGTATCACTTCAGCCCAGGAGTTCAAGGCTGCAGTGAGCTATGATCATGCCACTGCACTCCAGCCTGTCTCTAAATAATAATAAATTTTAAAAGTAAAAAATATTTTTAAACGACTTGACTACAATAAGAGTTTTAAGTCTTTTCAATAAATCTTCAATCAGTTGCTAATATCATCTCGTGCTTCAAACACAGTGCCCAGTGGTGTGCTTTAGTGAAAGCGGTTTAATTTTTGGAGTCTGCCAGAACTGGGTTTGGTTACCAGCTCCATTACTAACTGGCTAGGTATCTTTAGGAAAGTTAACTTCCTTCCTTGTTTTAATTCTTATATCTGAAAAAAGGAGATGGCAGTAACTTCTCAAACAGCTCTTAGCTGAAAATTAAGGGAGATACAAGCATATCGTATCTTATTGCGCTTTGCTTAATTGTACTTCACAAATATTGTATGTTTTACAAATTCAGGGTTTGTGGCAGCCCTGCATCCAGCAAGACTATGGGCATCATTTTTCCAACAGCACATGTTCACCTCCTGTCTCTGTCACGTTTTAGTAATTCTCAAAATATTTCAAACTTTTTCATTATCATCTCTGCTATGGTGATCTATGATCAGAGATCTTTGATGTTATTACTGTAATTGTTTTTGGGTGCCACAAACCTTGCCCATGTAAGACAATAAACTTAACTGATAAATGTGTGTGTTCAGACTGCTCCACCAATTGGCATTCTGTCCTTGTCTCTTTCTTCATGATTTCCTATTCCCTGTGTCACAACAATATTGAAATCAGGCCAATTAACAACCCTACAATGGCCTCTAAATGTTCAAGTGAAAGGAAGGGTTGCATATGTGTCACCTTAAATTAAAAGCTAGAAAGATTAAGCTTCGTGAGGGAGGAATGTCAAAAGCCAAGACAGGCCAAAAGCTAGGCCTCTTGCACCAGTTAGCCAAGTTGTAAATGCAAAGGAAATGTTCTTGAAGGAAGTTAAAAAGTGCTACTCCAGTGAACACATGAATGATAAGAAAGCAAAAAAACAAAACAAAAAAAGCCTTATAGCTGATATGGAGAAACGCTTAATGGTCTGGATAGAGGATCACGCCAGCCACAACATTCCCTTCAGCCAAACCTAATCCAGAGCAAGGCCATAATTCTCTTCAATTCTATCAAGGGTGAGAGAGGGATGAAAGCTGTAAAAGAAAAGTTTGAAAACAGAAGCTGGATTATGAGGTTAAAGGAAAGAAGCCATTCCCATAACACAAAAGTACAAGGTGAAGCAGCAAGTGCTGATGTAGAAGCTGCAGCAAGTTATCCAAAAGATCTAGCTAAGCCCATGGATGAAGGTAGCTACACTAAACAACAGATTTTCAATGTAGATAAAACAGTCTTCTCTTGGAAAAAGATGCCATTTAGAACTTTCAGAGCTAGATAGGAGAAGTCAATGCCTGGCTTCAAAGCTTCAAAGGAAAGGCTGACTCTCTTGTTAGGGGCTAATGAAGCTGGGCATTTGAAGTTAAAGCCAATCCTCATTTATCATTCTGAAGTTCCTAAGGCCCTTAAGAATTATGCTAAATCTACTCTGCTTGTGTTCTAGAAATGGAACAACAAAGCCTGAGTGACAGCACATCTATTTACAGCATGGTCCACTAACTACTTTAAGCCCACTGTTGAGACCTACTGCTTAGAAAAAAAAATTCCCATGAGCTCTGATGGAAATGTACAAGAAGGTTAATGTATTCATGCCTGCTAACACAACATCTATTCTGCAGCCCATGGATCACTGAGTAATTCTGACTTTCAAGCCTTATGACTTAAGAAACTCATTTTATTAGGCTACAGCTGCCATAGATTGTAATTCCTCTGATGAATCTGGGCAAAGTACATTGAAAATCTTTTAGAAAGCGTTCATCATTTTAGATGTCATTAAGAACATTTGTGGTTAATCGGAGAAAGTCAAAGCATCAGCATTAACAGCAGTTTGGAAGAAGTTGATTCAAACCCTTATAGATGACTTTGAGGGATTCAAGACTTCATGGAGGAAGTAACTGCATATGTGGTAGGAATAGCAAAAGAACTGGAATTAGAAGTGGAGTTCAAAGATGTGACTGAATTGCTAAAATCTCATAAAATTTGAACACATGAGGGGTCTTGTCTCATGGATGAGCAAAGAAAGCGGTTTCTTGAGATTCAATCTGCTCCTGGTGAAGACGCTGTGAGCATTGTTGAAATGACAACAAAAGATTTAGGATTTAGGATATTATATAAACTTAGGTGATAGTGCAGCAGCAGGTTTTGAGAAAAGTGACTCCAATTTTCAAAGAAGCTCTACTGTGGGTAAAACACAGCATTGCATACTACAGAGTAATCTTTTGTGAAAGGAACAGTCTATGGATATGGTAAACTTCACTGTTGTCTTATTTAAAGAAATTGCCACAGACACCCCAACCTCCAGCAATCACTACCTCGATAAGTCAATGACCATTCACATCAAGGCAAGACCCTCTACCAGCAAAAACATTACAACTCCCTTAAGGCTCATGTGATCATTAGCAATTTTAGCAATAAAGTATTTTCAATCAGGGTATGTACATTGTTTATTTAGACATAAAGCTACTGCACACTTAACAGACTGCAGTATAGTGTAAACATAACTTTTTTAGATACCAGAAAGCAAAAAATTTGTGTGACTTGCTTTATTGCAATATTTGCTTTATTGTAGTTGTCTAGAACAGAACCTGCGATATCTCTAAGGTATGCCTATAACAAATACATATAATGTGTCTACTATAGTGCCTGGTATATAGTAAGGACACAAAAAGTGGAAGTCTCCAACCTCCCTCCCTAGCCTCTCACATTTTTTAGAATTCTTCCTAGAGAAAGGAGCATTCTTGGTAGGGGCCACAGCCTGCCTGCCTTCTATATTTCAGGTTCACTGCTTTAGGGAATGAAAAGTAGTGTTTTCTCAGCATAAGACTGAAGGCCCCCAGATCTCGATCAAAGAGTATTTTAAATAATCTTAGGTCTGATCTCCCTGGCATGACCTTCTGCCTCTATTCCCCATTGCTTCTAGAGTTAATGTTCTCAAAAACAAAGCCAACCATTTCACCTCTCAGCTTTGTATCTGGCTCCCCTCTGAGCCAAGCAGAACTTTAAGAAACAACCAAACAGCTAGCTGAAATGCCATTTCTGGGTCCCTTTCTTAGATATTTTGACTTGGCTTACCTGGGGCGAGGTGCAGAAATCATCTCAAACCAGTACCCAGGTGATTCTGAGGCAGATAGCTTGAGGACCAAAAGAACACTGGCTTACCAGAGAAAACCCTAAGTAGATCAGGAGCCAACTTTGGGATGTGTTGGTTTGAGATATTCAGTCTGGAGTTCAGGGGAAAGGTCTGGGCTGGAGATAGAAATTTGGAAGTGATTGGATT